>NW_018654712.1:0-135987 GCF_000001405.40 Homo sapiens
CTTCTAAATACTCAAAGCTGGAGAAAACCACTTTTTTTTTTTTGGACTAGAAAACACACAAACAACCACAAAGGTGTGTTACTAAAATACCCTTAAGAGCAATTGTTTATATTTGTGCTTAAACTTTAGCTCCTTAATATTTTAAATTGGTAAAAGAAACGCATACAGCGATAAAGGCATGGCAGCTAAGAGTACTGCGATGGGAGAAGGTGGCCAAGAAAGCGGAGCTGGCTCTGAGGGATGCTCTTCTGGTGAAGAAAACGGCATTTAGCAAAGCCTCTTGCTGAAAGTTCTCCATTCGTCTTTCTTTCCAAAGGGACCCAGGTGGCACATACCCCTCCTCGGAAAGTGTACATTTACTATATTTTCTATATGTTTTTCCTTTTCATTTCTAGACAAATCCTTTTGAGCGACTTAAAATAGGAGAGATTGCAAAGAGCTCTAAAGGCATGTCCTGGTCGTAGGTCTAATTTCTCTGTCTCGAGTGAGACGCCCAGCTGCCTGTTCTGTGTATTCTTATACCACCCAATCATACCACTTTTCTTTAATTCTTGTTTTATTCAGAAGCATCACATTTTTTGTTCAAAGGGCATTTATTTAGCAATTTTAAAATGCATAAAACTTGTTAGATTCATCTTCCATTTAATAGCTTCTGATAAATGTTTTATTAACAATGAACATCGAGGTACCAACACATTTACAATGCCCCTAATCATTCAGCAGAATCTATTTTTGTTTGTATTAGTATATGTATATCTATGGAGTCTTCGTATAAAGTTTTTGCAACAACATTGACTTTTAAGGTGACCTGTGATTACTGGGTGAATTGCATGAGATATCAGAGTAGGGCTATCTGAATATTCTTTAAAATACCTTTTTCTTATCCAAATTCTTAGAATGAAAGGAATTCATATCATATCTGGTGTGGAATATAGACCAATTACTCACCGTTATCATTCCTGACCTTTGTTTTCCTCTTTCATTTTTTGGGGAATTAACAAACCAGGAGTGAGTCATAAAATGATAAAGTGTATTTGATGTGTACCCCGGTTCCCTCAATTTCGGACTTTGCAGCATGTCTCCAGAACCTTCCATAACCAGTAGCTTAACCTGATGCATGCCACACGTTCTGCACGGGCACATTCGTGAAAACTTTAGAACGAAGCCGAGATGCCTGTGGGATTATTACCCTTATGTGCAGATGAGGAAGCCCCTGTGTTGGACAGGTGATGGCTTGCATAGAATTCAGAGGCTCCAGGAGGGCAGGGCACATGACCTTTTCACTCTGCAGGACCAGTGGACCCACTTATGTGGGTGCATCCTCGTCACCCTTTCTTGTTAATTTTAGGGCAAAACTGACAATCTGAGGCATCTTGTGGAACCACTGGACTCCTGAGACTTCCAGAGGCCACTCGGCTTCCTAGTTACTGTTCTTGTCTTCCTATTGGCCGGCCAGATGCAGGGAGCGAGCTGTTTTCTTTTCTTTTCTTTTCTTTTCTTTTCTTTCCTTTTCTTTTCTTTTCTTTTCTTTCTTTTCTTTTCTTTCTTCTTTCTTTCTTTCTTTCTTTCTTTCTTTCTTTCTCTCTTTCTTTCTCTCTTTCTTTCCTTTTCTTCTTTCTCTCTCTCTCTTCCTTCCTTCATTCCTTCCTTCCTCCCTTCCTTCCTTCTTTCTGTCCTTCCTTTTTTCCTTCCTTCCTTCCATCTTTCCTTCCTTTCCTTTCTTTCCTTCTTTCTTTCTTTCCTTTCTTTTTTGTGTTTTGTTCCCTATGCAAGGAGGCCAGAGTGATGCTTACGGATGGGATCTTCATGTTCTCTGAAAACATGGCAGTAAGGGGTTAATACCCTAAAATATGAGGTGCTATAAAAACCCGAAAGTGAAAACTCATCTCTAGTAAGGCGACGATGGCAGATGCGATCAGCTGCAGAATACGGGTGGTGCAAGTCCAGGGCCATGCCTAGGCCCTGTGTTTTTGCATCTAGGGAAACAGGCAAATGCCAGGAATGATGTTCGTGTAACACCCACATAGCTTCTCTCTTAGAATAAACAGAAGCCTTTATTCTAACAACACCGTAATACTCACAAATATTTCTGAAAGAGACAGACCAACGCATACTTAATTGCAAAAAATATCATTTTTTCTACAGTTTATAAGTATAGATGGAAAGGTTGGAATGTGCCATGCAGCCTTGACGATCTCTGTGGTGAATGCAGAGCCTTGTCCATAACAGATTATAAACAGCAGCCACTGGTCTTGCAGGATGAAGGGAAAAAGAGGAGGGTTGGAAGAACACAAAGGAACAACTTTTTGCAGAGAGTTAAACATCACCAAAGCGGAGAGGGGCTGAGTGTTTCCGGAGGGTGCTTTGCCTGCACCACTCACCACTCCCCGACCCCAGCTTCCCAGAAGCAGTGCACGGTTTAGGAGGTCGTAGGGCTGGGCCCACTTCCAGCTGCTTCTGTTTTCTTGTGCTTCTAGGATGGTCCCTGGGCTACCTTAAATCAACACGTTTGAAAGCTGTAGAAAGTAAGGGAAGACTCACGACACAGATACCACAAAACACAGGACAACATGTTTTAACCTTTGAGAAATAATTAGAGCCAGAGCTGTGCTTATATCTGGGTAATTGATGTTCTCTCCAAACCAGGCCTATGGAATATCAGGCATCCCACCCCATGCATAAGTACTGCAACCAGGAACATGAGCATCTCCATGCTGCTTGCACAAATGTGGGGCCCTGAGCACACCGACAGACTCCCATATGGCAGCCAGGAAAACCTGCCCAAGCCCAGCCTTCCCTTACATCCACATCCCCACACAAGGACTAGGTCACCGCTGTGGCCCGACATTCCTGCACAGCCACAGCAAATATATGTTGCACAGAGGTCAAAGCTTCCTCCATAGTAGTCGCTGAGGACTTACCATGGACACAGCTAAGCCTACTACTGTTTTAGTCTCTGTTGTTACAGACAAGACATTGCTGCCTTTAAGTGAACAAAAATAAAATCATTCCTGTTGAAGAACTGGCAGCAGAACTTTCTAAAGATTGCCCTTGACACATAGTTTCACTTAAAAACCAACCCTGAAAGTCTCAGTGCAAACACCCCGATTGCGTGTGCAGGAGTAGCGCTGTCATCACAGCAGGATCACACCCACATGGCAGGCAGCGGCACCATACGGATGAGACGGGGTGTCCATGATGAAGCCGCCCAGCTTCGTGGAGCCTCCAGGCTGTGAATTCCAAAGACTGTTTCTGACAGAATTCATGTTCCCTGTTTCTAAAAGACTGAGTGATGAATACGTCTGTAAAGTAATTTGAAAAGTCATGGGATTAGAGGAACCTATGTACAAGGGACTTTGGTGACAAGATTTCAGGCAGCTTCCGAAGCAGGAGTAAGGAGGCAGCTTTGATGAGATGGGGAGCAACCACTCAGTTCAGCGATACTCAATGCAGGCCAGAATTTTTTAGTCCTTTTTTGAAATTGTGTTGGATTTGTGATTTTTATTTCATACACACAAAAATTATGTATTTTCCCTGTTCATCATGATATTGATACTTTAGTTCTTTGTGCCCTGTTTTTTTTTTTCCCATTCCATGGGTTCAGTCAAAACCACTTTATCTGTAAACAGAATGATTAATTGATTATAAGTATGTGTTATTAAGACAATTGCTACTAGTAGTAGAAAGATTAAATTAAAGAGTATTCTACATTGGTGGTTGCACAGTGTTATAGAAATAACCCCAGCTTTCTGAAATAGACGCTGTCTGAATTCCCAGGATATAGATGAACCAAGTGACATTGTCCAGATTGTTTAAGTAGCACAACAGACCCCTGGTTAGTGGTGGGTCCAGGAGGATGCCACATTGTCCTGGAGGTGGGGAAAAAGTGTGGCCCACTCATGCGGGAACACATTATCATCAATACTAATGGATGGTGACAAGTGGGATGGAAGCAAAGTATTGGGTGATACAACAGCTTCAGGCCACAACTGCGGTGCAGTGGTCAGGAGGGGTCATTTGAGGAAGTGGCCACTGAGCTGGGCCAATTTGGAGCAGTGAGTTCAACCGACACTTCTGGTAGATATGAAGAATGTGGGAGAATAAAAAGGAGCAGAAGGTCAGCTTGGAGACCAATCACAGTGCTAGGAGTTTAGTTGGGACCTTGGTCTCATCATTCCGTAGCTCATGAATTCTGCCTCACCCATCTTTCCTATCCTGCAACATCAAGACTGGGCTGGTACCTTAGATGCTAAGTCTGGGGCATTCGTAATTGATGATTGAATACTAATAGTTAATAATCAGGTTGCAGATATTAGCTGCAAAGAGTTGAGGATTTGGGGAGATGACTGAAATTACTGAGGAATTCTTACATGTGGTTGAATGTGAGGAGTGTTTTGAAGGACCAAAATGTGCCAAATGTCTTAGAAAAGCCTGCCGTAATGATATCAAACAGTATCGCCACAGTTGAGAATTTTAATTTTTCAAAATTATTGACTGATGTTAGTTTGCAATATTGAAAGACTAGGACATTCAGGGGTGTGGTTAAAAAAAAGTAAAATAGAATTCTTGAGAAGCTGCATTCTGACTTGGACACTGTGTCAGTATTGCCTTCCGCTCTGTTTGATAAAATCATCTCGTGTTCCCGGGTACCCCAACTGTTCACACTTGTATTGTTTCATGTTTTTGATGCACACTCATTAACTCTCCATTTTAATATCTTCTTACAACTACCAAAAACATGTATTTGTTCTAGAATATTGTTCTTCTGTAAAATGGCACTCTCTAAAGTCATTCCTCGCAATTCTATTGTTCTCCCCCGATGTCAGGCTGACAAACAGTGAAAGTAAACTCAGAGTAGAATCAAAATCCCCCATCCATTCATGCTTAGGCACGTTCTTTATTACCACATATTTAATATACAGCAAAGAGAGAAAAATTAGCACAATTAAGACCTGTTTTCATCCTTGACCGTGTCTCCTCCAGCAGAAACAGATTCTTGTATTTTAAAATTGTTTTGTTTTCTTTTTTAAGCAAACTATTCCCCAGAAAGACTTTTCTTGGCGCAATTGACTTGATTTCCAGTCAGCACCTATTCAAATAACAGTAACTTGTTTTTTTTTTTTGACCCTTTAAATAAACATCATTTACATGTTGTATCAGAAAGTGCACAAAGCTGTAAACTGATAAAGTTATAGATTTTCACGGAAATTAAGAACCAGAAAGGGTCTATGCGGTTCTTTAGCTTAGCCTTTATTTGAGGAATGTTACTAAAAAATGGTATGTCCGTGAAGATTTTGTAGGTCACTCATGGCTAGGTGAGGGGTTCAACAGGGGGAAACAGGCGTTTTGTGACAGGAGTTCCCATCGCCCAGACAATATCCTATGCTGCATCGGGGGGCTTTTCTCCTGGGGGGTTTCCCAGTGGAATGCCCCTGAGTGATCTCCCCAGCCAAGAGGGAAGCTGACACTCCCAGGGTGTTTGTGTCCTGCCTACCCCAAAAGCTAATCCTAGGATCCGGATCTCCTTAATCTGTATAAAGCCCTCTCGTATTCACACTGAGAAAATGCACTTTGTTCTCCTCTGAAGTGGCTCACAACCAGTCAAACAGCTTCTCAACTGGGAGTTGATCTTCTTATGAATGATCAGAATTTACCTGCTCTAAGCAGCTGTGTTCTTCAGCATTTATAAAGCAGAGTTCTATGGGGCTGCCATGATGGATTAGAAAGGACTGATCCTAATGCTTCCTGTCCATTGCATGAAGCCAGAGGTGGTTTGTTTAAGAACACTTTGGAGAAAGTGTTCCATTTGAACAAATGGTCTGAGGTGTCCTAAAAAGCCCCAAATTTAGCTGAATGCATTCTCTGCTTTTCCTCTTAGGTTTCAATTGGACTGATTTACATCATGGGTTTTTCTACCCTCTGTCTCTTTGCTTTTCTTAGGTATAAACTTGTCCCAACGTGGTGAAAACGCCAGCTCTTCTGGAGTTAGGGCATCTCACCCTTCCTATTGCCTCGTGAAGCTCTCGAGGTCTTACCTTTGCAACACACCCTTCTGACGGGACTCACCACTGTGTTTAAGAGCTGGGACTGGTGCTCTTGTTCACAGCTTCTCCTTGAGAGTAAATGCTGCTCTTGTTTCTTGTCTCATGGTGGCCCCACGCCCATGCTGCTGGTTTTCCAGAGTCCCTGGTTGGAGATAAGATCCAGAAACCTTCCTCAGTGCCTGGCGCTGAACCATGATCTGCATAAATGGATGGAGAATCATACGTTCCTGGGTGTTCTCCATGTTCCCCCATTTATGGTGTGCACATCTCCCCAGGACTCGCTGGCTGAGGGTACATGTGTGGTCACTGCTCTAGAACTAAGGCATTGCTCAGGCCTCCTTGCCCTCATCTGCCAAAGCGGGGACCACAGCTCCGCTTCGTCATCTTCCTTGCAGCTCCTACAGCATCCTCCCCACCAGGCCCCAACTGCTGAGCTCTGCCCATGACAGCAGTGGAGGACTCCGCCCTGCCATCTACCCAACACACCCATCCTGACTCCACTGATCCTGCCCCATGGCAGGCCCTCTGCATGCCCCAAAGCCACAGTCTTCATGCATCCAAGTGGCCTTTTGGGCCCCATAGAGGCCAGTATCAGGGCCTCCTCCCTTCTTTATGACAACCGTCATCACCAGGATGGGCGCGGGCCAGGCTGCTGTTCTCTGCTCCCTTCAGAAGGGAGTGCCCTGTCCACCATTATCCTGAAGCTCTCCTCGTCAGGAGGCTCACACAGGAGTGAGGGGCCGGAAGGTGGCCAGCTCGCCATCCCCTCAGGCTGACCTGCCGACCTCTCCCGTGGCGGTTGCCTGTTCTTAAAAGATGCTCCTCTGGGCCTCATGCAATGGGAATTCTGATGGGACTCTGGCCATGATGTGCCCGGTCTTCTGGGCTACCTGACCTGCATCCCAGGGCTCAGCTGAGGCCTACAGGATGCTTCACATCATAGAGGGCTGTGGGCTCTAGGACAGAGTGTGTGGAGGATGCTAAGGAAGAAAAGAAGCATGTGGGGGATGCCTGGGGGCTGTGGAACTAGTGGGTCCCGAAGACCAAATTTCTCATGCATCCAACAGGGCAGCTTAGCATGAACAGGGGTAGAGCCCAAATGGTGGGATAGACTGACACATACCCTACGATCAAAACTGTGAATGGTTTTACCTCAACATGGAGCCAGAATCAGGGAGAAGCTTCTAGTAAGAAGAGATGAAGGTGCATTTGGGGGGCAGCAGAAATAGAGGCATATAGTTGTGAAGAAGACAACATTTTGAACCTGATATACCTCAGACATTCAGGAAGTTTTTCATTCACAGAAGACATTTGACTTTAAAACATATTGATATTGTATGTAATAACTCAGATGAAATAGCCTTCTGCTCCTGATGTGATGTTGCATAAAGACACTAAAAAATGTGTTGTCTTTGCCTTGGAATCCTTTAGATATGTCTTTGGGTGGCTTATGGGAGAGACTTGAAACCGTGGCCTCAGCGCTGACCCCCAGTTTCCCCGTGCAGCCAGGCCTGGCTGCTCATGAATGATGCCATCTCAGCCTCTGCTTCATGCTGTCAGTCTTTACAGAAAATTCCCACTCCCTTAAAATGACACTTAACTTCTGACCCTCATAGAATCAATGTCTTTGACAAAGATAAAGATTTTTATTAGGACATGGGTTCTTCTGTGGAGATCAGCATCAGAGTAGATGGTGAGCGGTTCACACTCTTCATGCTTGGTCCTGCTCAGAGAGACTCGGATCCACCCTCTGTGCAAGGAATGCTCTCCTCATGGGGACCCCTAGACACAGACAGGATAAGTGAGCCCCTGGATCCCACAGCAGGTGCAACTTGTGTTTACTTATTTATGTTTACTTTATTTTATTTTTCCATAAGTTATTGGGGTACAGGTGGTATTTGGTTACATGAGTAAGTTCTTTAGTGGTGATTTGTGAGATTTTGGTGTACCCATCACCCGAGCAGTATACACTGAGCCGTATTTGTAGCCTTTTATCTCTCGGCCCCCTCCCACTCTTCCTCCCAAGTCTCCAAAGTCCATTGTATCATTCTTATGACTTTGTGTCCTCATAGCTTAGTTCTCACACATCAGTGAGAACATACAATGTTTGGTTTTCCATTCCTGAGTTACATCACTTAGAATAATAGTCTCCAGTCTCATTCAGGTCAGTGAAATTGCTGTTAATTCATTCCTTTTATGGCTACGCAGGATTCCATCATATATATATGTGTATATATATATATGTATGTGTGTGTATATATATATGTGTGTGTATATATATATACACGTGTGTGTGTGTGTGTGTGTGTGTGTGTGTGTGTATATATATGCCACCATTTCTTTATCCACTCATTGATTGAGGGGCATTTGGTTTGGTTTCACAATTTTGCAATTTTAAATTGTGCTGCCATAAACATGGATGTGCAAGTATCTTTTTCAAATAATGACTTCTTTTCTGCTGGGTAGATAACCAGTAGTGGGATTGCTGGATCAAATGGTAGTTCTACTTTTAGATATTCTTTAATGTTTAAGCCTCCTACCTGTAGGACTCTCCAAGCACTTCAGACATTAGTGGCTTGACAGTGGGACCCTTGTATCTCTGGAAATGTCTAGAAGCAACACCAGCAAAACATGATGCCTGGATGCAGATCCCTGTATGGGAGACTTACGCAGTAGCTTTCAGAGTTTGAATCGTGAACCACAGCAAACTATGGATTCTGCACCGTGGCCTGGTTCTCATCAACAAACAGAGAGCTGGAGAAACACTCACTCTGTGAGGGATACCTACACTCGCTGTGTAGCATGCACACTGTAGATTTTATTCTGATTCTTCAAATAAAAGGCTACCAGTCTAAAAAATGTCTTGACAAGTGATGCTTCACAGCTGGAAAACCCAAGTTCATTGCTCAAATGAGCAGAAATTTTAGATTAAACCAGTGGAATATTTAAGAAACAAAACCCTGTATAAGGAAGTGTGGCTTAAAGTCCCACATGAAATAGCTAGTAGATTTAAATGGTGGGCATGCTGGTCTCAAGGGTTAATTTTATTTTCATTGGGATATAATTCAGATACCGTAAAACTCACCGTGCTTAGGTGTGCAATCCAGTGGATTTTAGCACATTCGCAAACTTGTACAAGCAACACAACTGCCTAATTCCAGAACCCTTTAGTCATCCCCCTAAAACACTCTGCACCTGTTTAATTTTACAGAGTGTCTAGAGTGTCTGAGATCATTTATGTGACCACAATATTTATTGAGAAGTTTTGAGAATGTTTTGTGGGCTCTGAAGTAGCTAACGTGTAATAGGGACATTTCTATTGAAAATTGCCTTTCAAAATGGACAGGTTTAGGGTGTAAATATCTAACATTGTTAAAGAAGAGCCAATTGTTTTCATTTCCGATATCTATATTCACACAAATGGCCAGCTAGCACTTAGAGCATGAGGTATGCTGCTGGCGAAGTCTCCTGGAGGCCACTAGATTCAAATGTCGGCAGAAATATTATCTTGGCAAATACTAAGTGTGTAAGAAATGCCATTAAAGCTAGGAAAGCAAGACATTCATTGAGCAACAACAATTATGGATTATCTATTTGTGCAGCTCAGAGAGTGTGTCTTCTCTGCCTTTTTTCCTGAGCTACCAAGAGAATTAATTCAAGTTTTGTCTCATAATTTCAGGTCAGCCCACCCTCTGGGCATTCATCCCAGGCCGGCTTTATCAACAGCAACAAAACTATGACAGTTTGAAGCTTGCATCTAAAAACACAGAGTGAAGCTTTCAAAAAGAGCGAGACATTGACTTTCAAAATAGCTCTGTCTACTGCATGCCATCTTGATAAGGGAGTTTCGCAATAAAGCATTTGCCGGGTGGGTGACTGATAGCAAAGCTGTGTTTCCTGGGGAAAAGTGTGGCATCTTCAGTTTACATCAACTTGCTCTCATCTGAGACAAAACTGTAAGTAAAAGGCAAAAGTTTACCCTCTACTGCGTTGTTATGGTCCAGGCTGTTTCTTCTCATGCTCTTTAAATGAAAGAAAGTGGCTGGGTTCACTATTGGAATGTCAGGGAGCTCAGGTGCTATTGTTAGAATGACTTCCTGGTGGCACAGCCATGGCCAAGTGACCTTGTTTCCACGAGAATCCGTGGTTTTATGCTTAGGTCTAGATCATTCTCTCGTCAAACGATGAGGTTCGGGTCAGCTCCTCGGGGCCAGCAGTGACCTTTCTGGGGAAGGCAGTAGCTGCCTGCTATCCCGTTACTTCTGAAGACTTCGTGGTAAAGTTTCCTAATTGAGAAATTTCCCTCCATTTGGAGAGAATTTACACACATACCAGGAATGGCTTTGGGGAGCTATTTCCCTGCCAGGGAGTCGATTTAAACAACAAAAAGTCAAATCATCCTGCCCTTTTCTGCCTGTTCGCTGCCTGCTTGTGGGGCCGCAGGAAGGCTCAGAGCTATCAAATGAAGAAAAATGGGCCTTTGGCTTACAACTATATTGGCACCCCCATTCCCCCTGCATGGAAGTTTTCATAAGAGGCCTGGCAAATGGTTTTAAAATAGCTGTGGTATCTGGCAGGTTGGAGTGTGCACAGCCTAGAAGTGTTGTTTCCATTTCATTCTTCAGCTGTGTGTCCCTGCTGCGATGGATGCCAGATAGAGCCTGCTTGCCTAGGATGGGGACAGATGCCATTGGAAACAGGTCAGGTAAACTTGAGCTGCTAGATTCACCCTGATGAAACTCATTAGCTCCTGGCTCTCTGAGCACTTCTTTTCAAAGCTAACACTCTGGGCTTTCAAAGAACAGATTCCTGTTGCAAACTCACCCAAAGCTGGCTACCAAAAGCCATCACATTTACCCCTCTTTGCTCCTGGTGGTTCACAGAGAAGGTACTGGACACACATTTTAAATATAAGCTTTTACTACGTCTCTCTTGTCTGCTTATGAAGACACCAGCCATGGTTCGTTAGATGCGTGGGAGCCACCATTTCTGTAGTGGAGTTCCACCGCGCCTTTTCAGGAGGAGGGCTGGCCCGGAGTGGGGAGCCACAGCAGCCCCCTCTGCTGTCTCTTAGTCTTGCCGTGGTAGCCCCTTTTCCTAGGTGTCCGCTACTCAGTACTGTCATCAATTACTGAAGCTTTAAATGCAGTGTACCAATTTGAGTTTCGGCCAAAGTTATGGCAGGGACTTTAAGGCAAGTTTGTAGAGAAGTCTTGACTCCTGAGATGAACCATTTTTTCAATAGGCGAATATGTTCTAAGAACAAAAAGTTGAGAATGTTGAAAATGTGATCTGTTGGTGTTTACTAATACAAATTTAGGCATTTTAGAAAAAGCGCAGAGCTCTTTGTTTTAAAGTCATCACAAACACAATAAGAAAAGGAGAATGGAAACCAAGGTTTGGTATCCATACTTGGTGCCCATGTAGGCTGGGGCTAATCCAAACCAATTAATGTCTAACTAAAAGAATTATTTTGTTTGATGTATAAAAATAAGATTATGTAATTAGAATTGGATAGGCCACAGCTTGAATCTTTTCTCTGCCATTGTTTATCTGGGGGCTGAGTTTCACTTTTATTATTGGTCAAATGTGGGATCATGTTATTTATTTTGTAATGTTATTGTAGAAACAAATAAGAAAGCTCCTCACATGATACTTAAACCACCCAGCAAATAAGATGCAATTATACTTTTGTATTTTTGTTTCTTTTTTTTTTTAGAGACAGGGTCTCACTCTGTCACTTAGGCTGGAGTGCAGTGATGAGATAATAGCTCACTGCCGTCTCAAACTCCTGTGCTCAAACAATCCTCCCACCTCAGCTTTCTGAGTAGCTGGGACTACAGGTGCATGCCACCATGCATGGCTAATTTTCTAAAAAATGTTTTAGGGATGAAGTTTTGCTATGTTGCCCAGGCCGGTCTCAAATTCCTGGGCTCAAGCAATCCTTCCACCTGAGTCTCCCAAAGTTCTGGGGTTACAGGCATGGGCGCCTGCACGAGGTCCCAAGTACACCCTTGGAACTCACATCAATTCACTGGAATATCACCACGATTGTCCTTAGTTGAAAGGCCAGTAAAGACATATTTATCACAAGCCGTAGACTCCAATTAAACGTATATTTGAAGCCAAGATCCATCATTACTTCCTTTGGAGATGCTGTCACCTGTCTAAGAGTCTAGGAAGTTTTAATGAATATGGAATCTCAGGAACTGTCACCTTTGAGAATTACAAAAATGTACCTATTTGCTTTTGCACTCTCTCTTGCCCTGATCTGCCACATCACATATGGCCAGGGGGTCTGTGGGCTCCTGACAATAGTTCTAGGTAGCCCAGATGGGAGGGCCCAGGATGGGCAGCTGCTGCTGTGGGATCTGAGACTGGTCATAGGAAAAATGGGGCTTAACGATGGGCAATGTGCTGGGCTCCTGGATGGAAAGAACAGCTACGAAGAGACAGCAAACCCTGGTGTGAAAATGTCCACTTGGCAAGGGGAGTGCGACTCACTGACAGTCACAAGGTCATCTGGAGGCCGTTCCCCAGCCTCTGTTGGATGTGCCACCTGCCCCGGGCCTGTCTGGCATTGCTTTCTGTTTGTGTTGCTTTTCTGGACGGTCAGGGCTGTGGCTGTTTCTGGAGAGCAGTTGTGGAGGGAGCTGCGGGCCACTCCCCACTGCGCTCTGTAGGGCTTTGCCTGGACCTCTAGGGAAAGTCTGGCCACCTGGCCCAGCCTTGTCTACGCTTTGGTGAAATAGTCGCGCCTAGAGTGAGATGCATGATGCACACATAGGCCAACCCACCCTGGCAGGGCGATGATGTCGTGCTCCGTGGCGTGATTGCCATGGCTTTCAGCTGCAGGCAGAGCCCAGGCCAGGAGGAAAGGAGCGGCAGCCCAGGCAATGCAGATGTCTCTCTTTTTCCTACCGCAGAAAGGGAAGACTCCCAGTGAATGGACCCTATCTGCACTTGGCTGTGACTTTCCACCAAAGTTGGGATTCTCCTCTTCTCTAGAAACCCATCCTTTAGGTGGGCTGAGAAGTTTGGAGATGTATAGCAAACCTCTTGAATGATTTTATATTTCTGAGATTTGAAAAAAAAAAAAAAGGCCAGGCATGATGGCTCACACCTGTAATCCTAGCATTTTGGGAGGCCGAGGTGGGCGGATTGTCTGAGCTCGGGAGTTCAAGACCAGCCTGGGCATCATGGTGAAATCCCGTCTCGAGTAAAATACAAAAAATTAGCCCTGCGTGGTGACTTTGCCTGTAGTCCCAGATACTCAGGAGCCTGAGGCAGGAGAATCGCTTGAATCGAGAGGCGGAAGTTGCCGTGAGCCGAGATCTCGCTACTGCACTCCAGTCTGGGCGACAGAGTGAGATTCTGTCTCAAAAACAAAAACAAAAACAAAAAACATAACGTCCATAGAGTTGTGACAGTCTTCCCTCAAATGGCCATGGGAAGCTCAGTTCACCTGCTGTTTGCGTTAGACGAAAATAAGGGTGCTCTGTGAGCTTTGTTAGTTCTGGGGTTCCTATGGCTAGCTCCTAAAATATGCATGAGGCCTGTATACACATTTGCAACTTGGAATTACCATTTTTATTAAGTCTCAGGGTTAAAAAAATAAGTAATCATTACATGAAATGGGTGTTTCTTTTGGCAAAATAAAAATCTGAAAGATACTAAAATTACACAGTTCATTTCAACCAGATGCTGGTGAGTCCTTCCTCAGAAATCCGGTCCTTGCACTGCCTGGGAATACAAACAGATGCTCTGTGGCACTTCATTATTGGATTGCGAGCACATTGATGTTTCATAAAGGGCATTGTAGAGTAATGTTTGCCATGCTCCATGCCAATTGCGGGCTGAGATTGCTACAGCATCATGGAACAGATGGAAGTTAAAGTCGTAGCTAAGCTCCAGTCTCCATTTCTTTTGATGAAGAGCTCCAAAGATAGCTTTAAGTGAACTTTCAAAGGTAACTTTCTGGGCTTCTAAAATGCATAAAATTTATGGAGGGTATTGCACTAAAGCATGAGAAATACTTAGGTACGCCTCTTATTTGTCATCTTTTGGGGACTAGACTATGTGCAGGCTTATTGGTAAAGCTCTTTTCTAAATAATGTGTTTGTGCACCCTTGGTTTAGCTATCATTTCTGAGACTATCCCCATTTTCCTCACCTCCATGAAAGGGAAAGTTTACTGGAAGGTTGCAGCAGGTGGAGGTGGCTGTGTGCAAGCCTGTGGCATTCTGCTAGCAGGGTGCTGCTTGCAGTCTCACTTAGCAACTAGAGTAATGGGTAGATATGGCATTAGGGGAGATAAAAAGAGAATAATTTATTTTCATGAAACTCTCAACCTCATTGAACTGAAGAGCCCACACAGCAGTGCTTAAGAACCTGTGGGTTAGAACTTGTCAAAATCGGATTTAAAGTCCTGATTCGGATACTCACACCCTCGGCGACCCCTGCAAGTTGCTGGCTATTAATATTTCTGAGCTTCAGGTTCCGTGTCTACCATTTAATAATAATCCTGACTTGACAGGGTGGTTGAGTGGTTACATGGAAAAACACTTCGAAAACATTGCATGGGATGGCTGGAGACTGTACCTATGGGCTGTCACTGCCGTGCACACACACACGTGTGTGTGTTTTCACAAGCATGCCCAAATATGCATAAAATACCAAATATGACCAAGAAGATAAATATCTAGTTCTTTACCACAGCTCGCATTTCCTATTTCATACAACTTTTCCTCACAGACAGACAATTTCTTTTGTGAATAGAGTTCTCCTTATTGGATAAAGAAGCACTATTAGCATACACCAAACACTTCTAATCCACTCATGTTTTAGCCACGCCATGCTTTTGATCCACTTCTATAAAGACCAATGGAAAGGAATACCTTGGCCCTTATTCCAGTGGGGTTTTTCCCTCTGGCTTAACTGTCAGTGAAAATATCACTTTCAATCTTGCCTGGGATCAGAACCTGGAGCTGTGATGTCCACAGCATCCTCCCCTGTGACAGGACGGATATCCATCCCTTTCTCTTAAGTGGAACACTAGTATGTTCAAAAATCAAAAGCATAAGGCACAGAAAGACAAATATCATGTGTTCTCACTTACGTGTGCAAGCCCAAAATTGTAATCTCATGGACGCAGAGAGTAGAATGACAGGCCCCAGTGGGTCTGCTGAGAAGCAGGTGTGTGGGGAGGGTTGGTGAATGAGAGCAAACCTGCAGTCAGAGAGAAGGAATGAGGTCTGTTCCGCAGTACAGGAGGTGACTCTACAGTTAACGACAATGTATTGTATATTCCAGAATAGCTAGAAGAAAATATTTGAAATGTTCCTAACACAAATAAATGATAAATGCTGGAGGTGATGGAGACTCTAAATACTCTGTCATCATCACTACACATTCCACACATGCATCAAAACAGCCTGTCCCTCCCCCCCGCGAATCTGTGCAAACACTATGCTTCAATACAAACTACAAAACAATCCCATCTGGGAACAGGTGAGTGATGTCTGTCTTGGCATTGGAATGTCTGGTTCGGGAGGACAGTGGCTGGGGAAGGAGACCTGTGATTGAGCTTCTGGCCCAAAGAAAGGGACCACAGTGTCTGGGGAAGAGACGGAGGGGCTCCTGTCCAATGGTGTCCTCCATCCTAACCTGTCCCTTTTGTTTCCATGTCAAGGAACTGAGATGGAATGACCCCACCTGTCAGTTCACTGGAACTGCCATGCCCTGATATTGACGTGAAAGGGGTATGCTAATGTCCCAATGAGAAATACTTCGACATTCTGACTGAAGCTCCCCTGTGGCAGGACAGATAGCCAAGACTATGCTGAGATTGCTTAGAAATGTGCTTTTCTAGAACATAGATTTTGTCATCAAGTTGCATGATTATCCAGTAATCATATGTATTATTTTAATAACTAAAATGGTTTCTCCCTGCTCCTGCCAAGTTTACTTCATGAGTGTAAACAGCATGAGCCGGAGGGTTAAACTGGGATTTTCCGTCAACTATGGTCTTTAGTATTGTGCACTAAATATAGAAGTTCAATGAAAGTTTTGTTGAATTGAATTACTAACTCAATTTATATCAGTATACATATATCAGTATGTTTATGCCAATACCCATGTCTGTATCTATATCTATAGTTCTGTATGTATCAATATCTATACCTATCTATATCAATATCTTTATAATATAATTATCTACGTCAAATCAATACCTGTATATCTATATCTATACATAAATGTATCTCTGTCTACACGTATCCTTATCAGTACATCAGCACCAATATCTATGCCAATATACTATACTTGCCTGTATCTGCATCGGTATATTTATCAATATCTGTACCAGTGTAAATATCTACATGATCTATACCTCCACCCACGTCCACACTCACATCCACATCCACATACACTTCCACATTCACATTCACACTCACACCCACACTCACATCCACATCAACATCCACATCCACACCCACATCCACATCCATATCCACATCCACACCCACATCCACATCCATACCCACATCCACACCCACACACTCACATCCACACTGACATCCAGACTCACATCCACACCCACACTCACATCCACACCCACACTCACATCCACACTCACATCCACATCTACATCCACACCCACACTCACATCCACACTCACATCCACACCCACATCCACACTCACATCCACATCCACACCCACATCCACACTCACATCCCCACTCACACTCACATCCACACTCACATCCAGACTCACATTCACACCCACACTCACATCCACATCCACACTTACTTCCACACTCACATCCACATCCACATCCACACTCACATCCAAATCCACACTCCCATTCACATCCACACTCATATCCACACACACTCACACTCACATCCAGGCTCACATCCACACCCACACTCACATCCACATCCACGTCCACACTTACATCCACATCCAACTCACATCCACATTCACATCCATATGCATATCCACACTCACATCCGTATTCCACACTCATATTCACACTCACATCCATAGCCACACCCACACTCACATCTACACACTTCACACCCACAGTCACATCCACATCCACACTCACATCCAAATCCACAATCCCATTCACATCCACACTCACTCACATCCACACTCACACTCACACTCACATCCGGGCTCACATCCACACCCACACTCACATCCACATCCACACTTACTTCCACACTCACATCCACATCCACACTCACATCCAAATCCACACTCCCATTCACATCCACACTCATATCCACACACTCACACTCACACTCACATCCAGGCTCACATCCACACCCACACTCACATCCACATCCACGTCCACACTTACATCCACATCCAACTCACATCCACATTCACATCCATATGCATATCCACACTCACATCCGTATTCCACACTCACATTCACACTCACATCCATAGCCACACCCACACTCACATCTACATCCACACTTCACACCCACAGTCACATCCACATCCACACTCACATCCAAATCCACAATCCCATTCACATCCACACTCACATCCACACTCACACTCACATCCGGGCTCACATCCACACCCACACTCACATCCACATCCACACTCACATCCACATCCACACTCACATCCACTCCCACATTCACATCCACATCCACATCCACATCCACACTCACGCTCACATCCACATCTACACTCACATCCACACTCACATCCACATCCACACTCACATCTACTCCCACATTCACATCCACATCCACACTCACACTCACATCCACGTCCACAGTCACATCCACACTCACATCCACATCCACACTGTCATCCATATCTACACCCACATCCACATCCACCCTCAAATCCACATCCACACTCACATCCACATTCACATTCACATCCACATTCACACTCACATCCCCAACCACATCCACACTGACAATCACATCCACATCCTCACTCACATCCACATCTCTACCTCTCTATGCAGTGGCTTCATGAACTTGATGTTTGTAAAAGTCATACCCAAGGAAAGGGCTACTAATTCCTGTTTAACAATTGGCCTTTTAAGAGATAATTTTCTTCTTCACATTGGTTTCGAGAAAAATAGTCTGCATTAGAGGCACAGGATTTTAGAGACAAGAAAATAGTCATTCCAGTGACTACGTCCACAAACTATTGGAGAAATGTGTTTTATCCATGTACATGTATTTGGAATGAGGACCTAAGGGTATGTTGTTATCTCAGCCATCGAGCCATGCCTGGCCTTGTCCCTAGCTTGCAGCGCTATCCATGGTCAGTAGGTCACTGCTGCTCACTCCTTGTGCCCAGCCGCCCAGCTCTGGTATTAACAACACCTCCGTGTGTATCAGGGGCTGGGAGCTCTGCATCTTCGCTATGCTACAGAGCTTCAAAATGCAATCAAAAGGAAAAGCAAACTCCAGGAAACACTGAGACACTTTTAGAGTTTCTCTGGGAATTTTACTTGGTGAAATCACTTGCAACCGTCTACTAGAAACCTCCCCTGGGAGTGTTAATGCCATTTTTTCCTCTCTTCCCCTCAATGGAAATCAGGGATCAATCCTCGGAGCCCTTCATTACTTGACGTGGGAACCCAGGTGTGAGCATGATTAGCGGCGTTTAGGTGGAGCGCTTTCTGGGACAAGGTTGCATTAGTCCGCCAGGCCGTCAAACCGGGTGCTCCTCCCATGCTTTTTCAGGCAGAAAATCTCTTAAATTGAATAATTGTCATTTTCCAGCCCTCAGTGAGGCCAGAAATCACTAGAAATCTCATTTAAACTTTCCCTCCTCGTTCTCAAGCAAATTTACAACAGCGGCCAGTACTTTTGCAAGATCGCTGGAGAGAATTCATCATCAGAATAGAGGTATTTTTCTCCATTGTTGAGCCAACTACCTTCCATAAATTTTTTCATCATTTCACCCATCTTATTATGACCTTCCTTGGATAAAAAAGCCCAGCTCTAACTCTTTCTTTCTGCCGGCAGTGCCTCCCTGTGTATGATATGGTTAATATTGATTATAAATCACAATCAACTCTGCAAGTCCCGCCCATCTCCCTGGACTCCCCTTGCCCACCCCCTACAGAAACTATTCTCTGCCCTTCACCTGCTGTGAAATGCTGTTTTGAATATTTCTCCTTTAAAATGGAATCGCCACTTCCAACTGTATTTATCTAGATTGCAAGACCATCACGATGACTTCACGTCAGTGCCAGCATATGCAGCCGTGGAATACAGTGAGCGCTCTCTGCGGCTGACAGCAATAGCGGTGATCTAATTTACCCGGCGACTGGAAGAAACTCTTTGTACAGGCTCTGGGTCCCTTTGGATTAGTGACTTCAAGGTCAACTGGAGGAGAAAGGAAGCAGGGCTGAGGGTCACCCTCTCCTGTCTCATTTGCATGCTCTTGAATATATGATTTTAAGAAACATGCGTTTTTGATCTGCAATGTAAAAATTCCTCAATGATTTTTTGTACAGATGTGCAGAATACAGGAATGAAATAAAATATTGAGAATTTGTGGCCTCACTTTTTTTTTTTCAAGCTTTCTACAGTGATGCTAAATTCAACTTTGACCACTTGGGTTTTTAACGTTACTTTAAAAATCCCAGTCTCAATTAGCTCCTCCAAGGCTGATGTGACTGTAGGCACATTATTCCCGAGGCT
Organism: Homo sapiens; assembly: GCF_000001405.40. NCBI lineage: Eukaryota > Metazoa > Chordata > Mammalia > Primates > Hominidae > Homo > Homo sapiens. Next base: position 19,742 of record NW_018654712.1, read on the forward strand.
AAAGATATAGTCATTTTCCCATCTAGTTGACTTTAGCGTAAAAATACAATTGAATCATAAGCAACGGAATTGTATCTATTCAACTCTTTTCTTTCTCAACTAGAGTTAATAATGCTAGGTTTTACTCCTTCCTCCTAAATAACATAAAATATACGTTTCATGCGCGTCCGTGTGAAGAGACCACCAAACGGGCTTTGTGTGAGCAATAAAAGCTTTTAATCACCTGGGTGCAGGCGGGCTGAGTCCAAAAAGAGAGTCAGTGAAAAGAGATAGGGGTGGGGCCATTTTATAGGATTTGGGTAGGTAAAGGAAAATTACAGTCAAAGGGGATTTGTTCTCTGGCGGGCAGGAATGGGGGTCGCAAGGTGCTCAGTGGGGGAGCTTTTTGAGCCAGGATGAGCCAGGAAAAGGACTTTCACAAGGTAATGTCATCAGTTAAGGCAAGGACCAGCCATTTACACTTCTTTTGTGGTGGAATGTCATCAGTTAAGGCGGGGCAGGGCATTTTCACTTCTTTTGTGATTCTTCAGTTACTTCAGGCCATCTGGGCATATACGTGCAAGTCACAGGGGATGCGATGGCTTGGCTTGGGCTCAGAGGCCTGACAATATGAAATTGAAATTAGCACATCTCCAGGATGATTAGGTCTTGAGTGGATTTTATTAAATTTACTCACATGCTGTTCACTTTTTCTTAACCAGAGAGTGTGTGTGGAACTAGGCTTCTTTTCTTTCCTATTTCTTATAGTAATAGAGAGAAGCTTTTTTGTTGTTGTTATTCAGTAACAAACCAAAAACAACAAATAAAGCCATGGAAAGCAATGTGAAATAAAAAGAAAGCAATGATTATAGCATTATTAAAATTGAGAAGAATGATAAAGAGCTTTAACTGACACTTTATATCATGCTGTGCTCTCTGCTAAGAGCTCCTTACACAGGCTGGGCCCAGTGGCCTATAATCCCAGCATTTTGAGAGGCCAAGACAGGAGGATAGCTTGAGCTCTGGGTTCGAGTCCAGCGTGGGGAAGACAGTGAGACCCTGTCTCTACTAAAAATACAAAAATTAACGGGGCGAGGTGGTGCATGCCCTTAGTCCCAGCTACTCTGGAGGCTGAGACATGGGAATCGCTTGAGTCCGGGAGGCAGAGGTTGCAGTGAGCTGAGATTGCACCACTGCACTTCAGCCTGGGAAACTGAGCCAGACCCTGTCTCAAAAAATATACATGTATATGTATATATAAAAATATATAAAATATATTTTAAAATATAAATAATATAAATATATAATTTATATATTTTATATTATATATTTAATATTATATTATATATTATATTATTTATATAATACATATTTATATAATATGTTATATAATATAATATATAACATTATATATTATTTTATTATATTTATATTATTTATATTATATTCTTTATATTATAAAAATATGTAAATATATAATATAAATAAAATATGTATAAAAATATAAAAATATATATGTATATATATTCCTTTTTTAAGAACTCCTCTCACAGACCTGGTCATGGCTGGTAATCCCTCTGCAATGCGGAGGAAGGGAGGGTCTTTTTGTTTCAAATGTAGATGAAGCTCTGCCAATGTCTGTGGAAGAAGAAAAGCATCCTACAAGACGATGGGGGCGCCCACCAGAGGAGGAAAAGCAAACATCGGGTCCGGCACAAGACAAACGGGCATTTTCTGGGACGGTGACGGGACTGGGAAGTGCAGTTGGGGGTTGGGGGCAGGACACAGGAGAGGATGTTTGGGAAGATGGACAGGTCCGTTCAGCCTCCAGGTGTGGAGCCTGGAGCATCAATGGGCACCAATGGGGACGGGACGCTCAGCGTGGGTTCCTGCAACCGTGCATGTCCTAGTCCTGGCACATGCCCCAGTACTGGGACCCTTACCAGGCATGGGGAGCCCAACAAAGTGCGCTGGAGAAGCCTCACTCAGGAGCTTCAGTCATGGAGCAGCCAATACCAGTACTTCAGGCAGCCGCCATGGGTTTAAAGAAATAAAAATAGGAGACATCAGGCATTTGGAAGAGAGAATTGGGAAGATGTGTTTGCCAAGCAACCGTGAGCATGAGGAAAGCATGGCACAAGGGGCCACGGCTGCAGTTCTCATCAGGGCCTGTGCAGACACTTCTAGTTCAGGGGACAGAGGTGGTGGTAGTGGAGGGACGACCAGGAACCACAACAGAGGCTTCCTTATGCCCTTTTGCCTCAAAACAAAAACAAAGCAAAATAAGCAAGCAAAATGCTTTCTCAAGGCAAAAACTGCCTCTAATCAATAAGCACCTCCCTTTTTCTGGATTTCCAGGGAACAAATCTGAAAGTCCCGAGGCCTGTTAGGAAAGGCGGCAATGCCACCTGGGCTTGCTTGTTTCTCTGGCTAAGATTTATGACTGCCTAGCGGATGGGCTATGAGATCCACGTAAATGTCCTCTTCTGGCAGTTTTGATGAGGGAAAGCATTCTTTGAGCTTTGGGTAAAATTGTGCAGATCATAGTATTTTAGAATGGGGTAGTCACCTTGTGGGTCATCCAGGCCAACTGTGCTAGGTGCAGTCACAGAGAAGGTAAGTGTCCATGTGGCAGTGGGACTCAGAGCTGGCTCTGCAGCTGAAGCCTCAAGCCCCTTCAAGAGCTGACCATGATGCTGGGGTTGGTTCATTCCCACCAGTTCTAAGGGTAAATGCTGCATTTTCCTGCAATGAATGTGACTTTAATCCAGGCATCTGTGCTGCAGTCTATCGAGATAATTACTTTCAGGTCAATTGCGGCAGACCTAAGCTTCTGAGAAGGTTCTGGAACTTACAACAAAGGAAAGATTGTCTGAGCCTCCCAGGCTTGGGCCCGGGGTGACAGGCAACCATCTCCTGCCTCTGGAGTGGATGTGTTGGGTGGAAGGTTGGCAGATGAGACCTGCTTCCTCAACCGATATGCTCGTACCCCTGGTTGGAAGGACCTTCAGCAAAGTGGCTAGCTCTGGCCAGCCCATCCTGCTGTTTAAACTCTTCTTAAGGCCATCAAGTCTCAGGGAAAGGCTGAAGACCTTTATTGGCTACAGAACCTTTGAGGATCTGATGAAACATTTACACACGTTCCAGGGCTCACAGGTGGCTTGAAGTCCACTAGTCTCCTCTTCTAGCTCCTTGACAGAGAGTGCAAAGGCCACTTGTCTTTTCAGGCATGCAATTTCCCCCTATATAAAATAAAGCTTTTGCTTCAAGTGACTGTGAAGGACTGTCCCACTCACCATAACATGGTTCTAAGGGGAAGTCTCAGCTCGGCTTTCCACATCTCTCTGAGAACTGACACTCAGAATGTATTTTGGAGCTCAGTTCTCCTATGGAGAGCCTAATAAGCAAACAACTGTGTAATGAAAAAGGTGACTATTTTTGTAAGTACAGATCTATGCTGCGACATCTCACCCACATAAATTGCAGGCAACCATGGGAGATTTAGTACCTCCAAGTAGGAAGGTAGGCCGTGTGGTAGAGTGAGTCTGGTTCAAAAAGGCTGGCTCTGAATTTACCAGCTTTGTGAACTTAGACAAGTTACTCACCCTCTCTGAGCCTTGTTTCCTCCTTTATAAACTAGAGAATAGAATCTTCCAGGGTCATTGTGAGGAATAACAGAGAAACTGCATGGGAAATACATAGTGCCTTGCATGGCACTTACTAACCCCCCAATAAATACTAGATGTGATGATGATGATGATGATGAAGCTGCTACAATCATGATTTTTCATAGAAGAAACAACTGTACTCAATATACTTTTTAGGAAGAAAATGAGAGTCTGCAAACGTTAACATAGTGTAGTGAAAGGGGTTTCAGATTTCAGAGAGACTTGAGAGGGGTGGGAATGGCTATGGGCTGAAAACAGCAGGGCTTGCACCTCACTTTATTTTCTGTGAGTGACAGACTGGACGCAACCAGAGAGTGTGACCTCAAAGGTCGGCCTGGAGACAACAGCATTGTTGGAAGAGAATGTGAAAAATAGCTTAAGAAGAGAATCAGAAAGGCACACATGGGGCTCTTACATTTGGGTCAGCAAATGTTTTAAAATTGTGGGTATGTTAAACATGAGGCTAAAGGTAATTTTAATTTTGCTATTATTTCAGGTAAAAAAAATGATAAAAGTGGAACAACACCATCTTGTTAAAAGTAAAAAATAAGCTTAATGTTTTCTCTAAAAGTGAGGTGCCAAAATGTCATTGAACATGAACAGTTAATCTGCTCTCTTAACCAGAATGCTTTGCCTGTTGTCACTACAACACCAAGAGCTCATGTGTCCTTCAATGATTCAATGAAGACCTTACATTCTATCTTAATGAGTACATTAAAATTCTTAAAATCGGAACATGAACCAATGATATATAAAATAGATTAAATCATATGCATTTATTGTTTAGCATTCTTTCCATTAATTGTAAGCTTTAAGATCATGTCCAGATTCCAAAGGAAAAAAAAATTGTCAATGTTATTGTCCTGATGGATTCTTTCAAATGCAAATTTTCCAGGTCGTGTGGCCGTATGTGTGTTAATGTTCACCTGTGAAAATAAACAGATCTAAAGTGGTGTAGGTGTTGGCAGTAGCCATCACCTCTATTGTACATGCAAAGCACCAGCGTCTTGCAGTTCTTCATATGAGCAATTTCCTGCTGCATTTCTTGATATTTTGCAGAAGTTTTCAATAAACAACATAAATGAAAGATAAATGGTGCAAATGAAGAAAATTTCTGGCTATTCAGTAGCACTAAACATGTCATCCTTTTTATAATGCCATGGTTTGGGGATTTCATTGTAAATACACAATTATATTGAAATGAGGAGTGAAGTTTCTTCTTCTTCTGTTTAAAGTGGAAAATCAATGCGATCAGTATTTTAAATTACACATTGTTTAAGAAACAAGTAAATTACTGACTGTTTCATTGGGTTTCTAAATGGCCCTGAATGTGCCGGGTGAGCAAAAGTGGCTTAGGCAAGATTAGAGGGGATTTCTGTGACAGGGAAAGATGCTATTTGTAATTATGTATTTTAACTTGCCTGGGTATAAAAACATCTGATTACCTCATACTTAGCAAGGAAGCATTTCCTTGGCTGTTTTGTTCAAAGTAAACATACTTAAAATACATTGCATGGCTGAAAATGAAACTCTACAACTGAATCTTGAAGACTGAGTGGGACTGAGTAAGCTGAGTAAAAAATTGGGAGAAAATTCCCTGGAAGTAAAACATATACTTGTAACAAAGCATATAAAGTATACAATTTCTCATCTATAAAGCTACATACACTCTTTTATACTAAGTGAAAAAGAATATGTATTTTTTTCCTAATAGGATTTGGTAATTCTGTTAATATGTTTTTGTTCTTAACATGACATGGGGGAAAGTAATTCTGATTACATTTTTTAATAAGGAAATTTGGGCTGACTATTTTAAGATAAAAGTTTACAATTAGGAGACATTCCATCCATGAAAAAAATATAGACTATTCAAATTATTGAGAATACAAGGAAAATACAGCCCAGTTTTTGGGAGTTCTGCTCCCAAAGAGTGAGGTATTCTCCTTCCACTCTGGGGAACCCCAGCTGGGGCCTAACTCCAGCCACAGTGAGCCTCTCAGTGTGAGCATTGATTCACATGGGTAAAACAGAGATGCAAAAGTAAAAATTGTTGTTCTTTCATGGAGATTATTATGTCAGAATCTGCAATTTCTTCTCATGTTTTCTTCAGTTTCTTTCAGCATGTATATTCTCTTTAACAATGCTGAAACCCTGCATGTTCTCCCTGAACTACGCGTAAATCAACAATGACCTCATTCTTGTTGGCTTCAGTGTCCGTGTGCATAATCCACCGCCTTTGTTTCTCCTTTATTTTCCAGCCTCTGATAATCTGATTCTCTGTTCACCTCAGCATTCCCGATAAAGACATTATCCATCCACTTTTCTAGAAGATCCTCAGGTGGCCACATGCCAACATGTCTCTAACACCACTCCAGCCTTCTGGCTGCTAGAGCCTTCCCTGGCTTTGCTCCTAGAGCCCCCCAGGACTCTGTCCACTTGTGCCTTCTGTAGAGAGGGTTGCCCTGACCATCATGTCTAGCCACCACCGTGCGATTTTCTACCTGTAACTCTGCTTTATTTTCGTTCATAGAACATATGAGGAAGCACTCGACCTCCAATCCCACGTCTGTTGCTCTCTGTATTAGTCTGTTATCATGCTGCTAATAAAGACATACCTGAGACTGGGTAATTTTTAAAGAAAAAGAAGTTGAATGGACTCACAGTTTCACATGGCTGGGGAGGCCTCACAATCATGGTGGAAGGCAAAGGAAGAGCAAAGGCATGTCTTACATGGCAGCAGGCAAAAGAGCGTGTGCAGGGGAACTGCCCTTTATAAAACCATCAGATCTTCTGAGACTTATTCACTACCACAAGAACAGTAAGGGAAACCACCTCCATTATTCAATGATCTCCACTTGGCCCCACCCTTGACATGTGGGGATTATTACAATTCAAGGGGAGACTTGGGTTGGGTTACAGCCAAACCATATCACTCTCCCAGTGTCTTCCTCTAGCAGAAATCCCTGGGGCAGCACCCTTGTCTGCTTGCTCACCACCCATTCCCATTGCATGTCAGCTCCCAGGAAAGGAATGACTGATGCCAGGGCCTGGCATTGAGCCAGTGATTAACAATGTTCCTTCTCCATCCCACCTTTCTTTAATAAAAAGTTGTTCATCAAGGGAAAAAAAAAAAACCTGTTACAGAAATATAAGAAATAAAAAAACAAACTTCCTATAGAAAACCCATGCCATGATTTGTGGAATCACTTTGGCTCTGCTGGCTTCAGGGCCTCCACATCAGTGGATAGTGGATGGGTGGATAAGTGAATGGCTGGATAGGTAGATGGGTGGGTGGCTGAGTGGCTGGCTGCCTGGCTGAATGGGTGGGTGAATGGGTGGATGGGTGGATGGATGTTTGGCTGGTTGCCTGGGTGGATGAAAACTAAGGACAAGTAGAGAAAATAAATATTTAAGATCACCCAAGGGAAATCAACTCATGTTAAATAAACTCAGATCTCTAAGCTATGTGCCAAGTGAACAATATAGACTAGTAACTTACCAACTCACTTTTCAAATGGGAAATTTCACATAAAAATGGACATTTCCATGTTTTCCACTTATAGATTATTAGTTAACTAAATACAAAAAAATTAGCTATGTCTGTGAGGATGCAGATAATCCTATGCGAATAGTAGCTGGATGCCTGTTGTGAGGCCTATGCATGTTCAGAACTCAGAGCTGACTGCAGGTGTCCACGGGGGTTGGGGGGTAGCAGGTCTCTGCAGTCCTCTCAAGACCTTCCTGAGGTCCTCCCATCCTTAAAGACTGATTTTAGTTTAAGCTTTGGAAAAAAATTTATCCTAATTGATTTTTCCAGGAAACAATAAAAGTCCATATATCTGATATTTTTTTCTTACCTCTTAGCGAATGAGGTAAAGTAATAGAATCATTATTTATTATGATTTAAGACACTCAAGCATATTTAATAAATGATGTCACTTACACTACATGTGCCCTCCAGCCAGACCTTTTATTTTATTTTAACTATGGGATTATTGTCTATGTTGCATGTGCACTTGGACTTGGATTTTTTCCCAGCATTTCAAACATCATGTGCTCAGAACTGAACTCTTTGCCTGCCCCCAGCTTTCCCTGTCCCTCTGAATGGCCTTCTCCAGACCCAATTGCATGGGTCAGGCCTAGGAAGCCATCTTCGAAAGCTCCCTTTCTCTCCACCCTGACATTCCTGGATCCCTGTGACAAGGGACCCAACCCTCAGACTCCAGGGAGTCTGTTCTGTGTCAGCATCTTCCCGCCTTCCTCAACCTCTCTATTTTAGCTCATCTTCTTACATTGAGTTCTGGCAGTGCTTGCTTTCCAGAACCAGCAGCTATAACCTTGTCTCCCTCCAGGATATTTTTTGAGGGAGCAGAATTAATTTTTAGATATTGTAGAAATCAAAATTTGAAGGCATTGCTCCAGTACATTGCACTCTTCGGTTGCTTTTCACTTCACTTTCAGTAAAGTGAAGAACTTTCCACAGTGGACCAGACACAAGGGATCCAGCCTGATTCCCCTGCACCCACAGTCCTCTTCCACTGCATTGGTACTCACTGGGCCCTGAACTTCAGCAGAGCTGCCTTCCTTCAGTTCCTTAAAAGTGTTAACCTTCTCTGCCATAAGGCATCCCTCATGCTGTTTCTTCTGTCTGGGATACTCCGCCTCTTGCACTCCAGGGCTCAGCTGTGATGTCACTTTCCTGTCCACCCCAGAGCAACCTTGACCCGGTCTCTGACTGTCTCTAGATTTTATATGTCTTTTATGTGATGACTTTGTAAGGCCCCACAGTTGCTTTCATAATGTTTATAACCATTGTGATCTCTAACTATGTGTGAACTTATATGTCTAATGTCTGCACCTCCACAAACCTCAAAACCCATGAGTTTACTACTGTGTGCATGCCCAGCTTAACACCCGATAATAGAGGGTGCTCGATTGATGGATGAATTGAGAGTGGGTGGATGGGTGATTTGGTGAAAGGGTGGCTGGCTGGCTGGCTGGATGGATGATTGGGTGGATAGTGGATGAGTGGATGGGTGAATGGCTGGATGGGGTGGATGGGTGGGTGGTTGGCTGGCTGGCTGAATGGTGAATTACTGGATGGGTGGCTGGCTGGCTGAATGGGTGGGTGGATGAGTGGATGGATGTTTGGGTGCATGGGTGCATGGCTGGCTGGATGGCTGGATGGTTGGGTGGATAGTGGATTCGTGGATGAGTGAATGGCTGGATGGGTAGATGGGTGGGTAGCTGGGTGGATGGCTGGCTGAATAGCTGGGTGAATGGGTGGATGGGTGGATGGTTGGATGGATGGATGGATGGGTGGATAAAAACTGAGGAGACTTTAGAAGAAGCAGAGAAAATAAATATTTAAGATCACCCAAGGAAATCAAACTTAACCAAGTGGAAACTTAGAGAAAGACAATTCACATTTGCTCAGTTAATCTAGATGTAATCTATGTTCTTCTTTTATTCTCTCTTTTCTTTTCTTTTTTTTTTTCACAAATTGAAACAATTGCTTTTTGGAAGCTTGACAATATTTTTTGGGGGAATAGTGTAAGAAAACGCAAGAGCTTAATTATTTAGAAAACACAATTTCTATTTAATAAATAAATATCTGCAGGTACTGATCTGGGCGTGTAATCCAAGCATTCAGAACCTTCATTTCCTTGCTGATGCTGGAGGAAACAGTGAGTGTGGAAAGCCAGTTTCCATCCATCCCTGCGCCTGCATGAGCAGCGCAAATGCAGGGCACCCTGCTCTTCTCCCAGAGCTGTCACTCCTGCATTATCACGCCAGCCACAGTTCAGATCCTTATCACCTACTTAGGCTTGCCATGTTTTCATCTCTTACTTAGACATATTTTTTCCCCTTGGGGGATAGCAAAGGGCATCTTCAGGCACCCTTACCTCTCATATTGAATTGTGAATTTGTCGTGGTGGATTAAATTAATCAAAATGGCCTTAGAAGAAAAATCCCCATGTGTGCGTACCGAACTCAAATAATTTCTGTCAATTTTAAAATATAGACACTTCTTTCTGTAGACCATTCTCACCTGCTGTTTTCGTATATCATGCAGTGGAATGTGCATTTATCCCAATCCTTGGTGGCCTGAACTTAAGCTACTGTTTAAATTTATACCTAGGCAGTAAAGCAAGGATTAGAAAAATACCATCAGGAGTGGAAATGGGTCAGATTTAAGTGACTTGTTTTCAGTAGGACAAAACATTTAGAGAACTGTAAAACTAAAAAAAAATTTTATCATCAAGCTTTAAAAGATTTTACATTTGGCAAATTTAATAAAAGCTTAGCTGAATAACAAGTGATATTACAAACCTAAAACACGAATATAAAAATAATTTGCCAAATTAAAAAATGAATTAATTTGTTCATTTATTATTGAAATAGCTCAATGAACACTTGCATTAGTACTTTGATCCACAGCCACTTCCTTTAGCAGCAAAAGAAGAATTAACCAATAGAATAACATATGGAAGAAAGGTTTAAAAGATATTTGCTATCAAACAGAAAGATATTTTTAATTTTCTCCATCAAAATTTGTAGAATTTTATACTTATATTTTATTTTAGAATTTGAAAGTTTCTAAAGATAAAAATGACCTTCTCTTTACTAATTTGAAATCAATTAATATTTATTATGGTAGTAATGGAGGCACACACAAAAATAAGGTAAAATCACCCACTGTCTTTTCATACATATTTCCCCCATCCCAAGACTAGGATTATAATTTATAGATTTTCACTTAACAAATGGACATTTTCCTATGTTTAAATAATTTTTAATGACCTTAAGATGTACACTGTATCATCTAATAAATCACTAGCTAGTGTTCACGTTCTTTTCTATATAAACAACAGTGAGATGAACATCTTTAGAGCTCTGGTCTTGAACCCATGATTAACAAGCTCTTTATGAAAATTCCTAAAAACTGAATTGCTTGTACAACAGTATTTACATTTTTCAAAAATTTGATACATTTTGTCTAATAGTCCTCCAAAAAGGTTGCCCTAATTTCTACATTTAAGCACTGTAAATGGGTATTCCCACTAATCCCTCAACCTCATCATCAATGGAATTTGTAATCTCTGTAAACTCTGAAAGTTGATTGGAAAATAATGAAAACAAAATGTATTTGTTCTTTCCTGACATCATTGACCATTTGAATATCTTTTATTAATTTCTATTGTTTATCATTTTTTAAATATTATGGGTGCTGACCGAAAGTAAACACATACACACACACACACCCCATTTGACTATTGCAGTTATTAGCACCTTACTTCTCTTCTGCATCTCTAACATATTCCTAATATCTAAATAAGTGCATGGACCTTCAGCTACATCTAAGACAGAAAAATTAATATTAGACTTATTCTCTGGCAATAAACAGAAAATAAAATGAAATTAGAGGAACTTTGTAAGACAAATGTCAGCAGATATCAGACTTTAACCAGTGTAGGTATGTAAGGATTTGAGAGGAGCAGAGCACAGGTGGGACCTCACATTGATGCCAGCATTCCCCCTGAGGGCACCTTCCAAACTCTTGGTGCAGAGGACAGAGCCCCAGCAGAGAGCAGTGGTCTTGCAGGGTGACATCCATAGGGAATAAAGATGGGGAATGCTAAGGCAGCTGTGACCTCTCAGGGCAGCCTACTAGAAGAGATGGTACTACAGAGAAGCATTCTCCAACAGAATTTGGGGGACTTTGACCAACTCCAACTGCAGGCAAGACTCCAGAGGAACTGGCAGGGAACCACAAATGGGAGGCTGAGAGCTGAGCAAGCATCTCCATCCTGGAGAAACATTATGATGTGCCTGGCCAGAGTGGAAGGGTTACGGAGTTGAGACTTTAGGAAGCCTGTGACCCGGTGGTGCAGCCCTGCACCATGCGCAACACTGAGTACTGTATCTTCAGAGGAAAGACAACCATGACCCAGCAGTGCATTCCTGCACTGCACACAGCTCTGAGTGCTGTGTCTTGGAAGGACAGGCAAAATGGAAATAGACCTATTGTCACTAAGCTGAAACTAAGTTTCAAAGGTGACCTGCTGGTAATGTAACAACAAAATCAAAATCTAAAGCTCCCTTCAGGAAACCAAAATCCAAACCAAAAAAAGCACAAACTAAATTTTAGCATCTACAATGGCTCATACACAGATTCTTACACATAGTCAGAAATCATTACACAGAGAAGCAGAAAAAAATGTTTGACCATGAAGGGACAAAATAATCAACAGAAGCAGACTCAGCATAATCCAGATACTAGATTAGTCAGAAAAAGTCTTCAAAATAAATATGCTAAGTTAAAGATGTTGGAGAAAAGAACAAAAATGAATGAAAATATGGAGAATGTTAAAAAATAAAGTACATAAAAAGAGTCAGATGGACATTTTTGAACTTCCCAATACTGTCTTAGTCCTTTCAAGTTGCAATCACAAAATTGAGTGTCTTGTAAACAACAAGCATTTGTTTTCATAATTCTGGAGGCTGCGAAGTCCAAGATCAAGGCATCATCAGATTCAGTGTCTGGCAAGGGGTCATTCCTCTTAGATGACACCTTGTAACTGTGTCTTCATGCAGTAGAGGGTGAACAAGCTCCTTTGGGCCTAATTTATAGGGATACTAACCCTTTATGAGGCTGGATCCCTCATAACCTTCACAAAAGCCCCACCTCCTAATACCTTCATTTAGGAGTTAGGATTTCAACATAGGAATTTTGAGGATACACAGCATTCAGATCACATAAAATACAATAACTAAAATATGAAAAAGAACTCAATGGCTAGGTTTAGTAGAAGATTGAACACAAGGGAAAATAGAATTAATGAACTAAAAAACAGATCAACATAAATATCTATATTCAAACACTGAGAGATAAAAGAAACAAAAACAAAGCAAGCATAGCATGTGAGTTATATGAGACATTGGAAAAGGGTCTAGCACACATACCAACAGACTATGTGCATATATTTTGCATTTGTGTGTGTTTATCTGGGAGTATGATTTAACAAGCTCATTCTTAAACTTACATGAAAATGAAGAAAGATGAGGAATAGTCAAGGCATTCTTGAAAATAAAGTAGGAGAACTTGTTCTACTTGATACTAGGAATTATTCTGAGGCCAGAATAGTTCAAATGATTTAATATTAGTACAAGTACAAATAGATCAATGGACCAGAATAAGGAGATTAAAAACAAATCTACACATGCACCGACAGTTGATTTACAACAAAGATGGCACCACAGAACTATAGAGGAATGTTCATGTTTTACTCAGTTACACTTCAAGGCATTGGGGTTGGGGAGATCAAAACTTGTGCAATGGGGTCTTCTCTTTTCCATTAACAATAATTCCAGTTATCTCCACCAACCGTCTGTTTCTTTCTTTTCTTTTCTTTTCTTTTTCTTTTTTTTGTCATTCTTTCTGCCAGGTGTCTATGTCTGGGAGTATGATATTTCCCTTGAAGGATCTCCTAAAATATGGCATTTGGAATATCTAGTGCCCATGTGGTTGTGGAATGACTGCTTCTTGTGATTGTAGAAATAGATGCTTCTTGTAGTCCAAGCTCAGCTGCGTGGCTCTCCGGAGAAACTTTCTTGCCCATGCACACAGACCTTTTCCACTCATCTGCAGGAAGGTGCCCCTCACAGACATCACTCACTAGCACACTGGTCACAGAACACTCCCCAAATTGTTCCACATTGAATATCAGACATAATTCTGATTAGTGAAGATTATCTCTTTAGAGATCAGATTTGATTTTCACGTTTCCAGTGTCTCCCACTGCTTCACTCGTATTTTCCTTCCATTGCTGCATTCAATGCTTTCTCCCTAAGGTCTTGAATCCCATGCAATACTTTTGCCCTGTTGCCCTGTAAATAAAATCCATCTTCTTCATGTGCTACCTCAGAGCCCATTTCCCTGGAACACACAACTGATTCATGTGTGCTATATCACTTTGCTCAACTGAAGGTATTAAATGATCATGGCGTGACAAATACCATGTTATAGTAAAGAAAATGCTACAGGAACATTCCACATTAACTGTTTGTCTACAAAGCCTTCTTCAAACAGTGTCTGGGATAGGCCACTTGCAGTGAACACTTGCTAGTTTGGTACAAACATCCAACCCCCTTCTCAGAATCAGCATAATGTCTTGTGGGAAATTATCTCTGTCTTCCAAGATGAGTAGCCCCTGTAGGGGAATGACAAATACAAAAGGGGCCAGCTGTGTCCTCTTACTGTCTTGAGATGGCCACATGATCATGGCGATAGTCACGTGATCTGAGCTCAGCCAATGAGATCCTTCTGGGACTTTGCATCATGAACTGGTGACATCAGGTATGAAGGAAGAGCTGGAGGTGATTCTTTTCAATGGACACATGCAGCTGAGCCATTTCCAGCTACAAGGCCATGGCTGTGCTTCTACTTTCCAGTCCTGTGGAATAGCTATGAATTTTTTGTGTGTGGTGGGGTGGGGACAGTCTCACTATGTCACCCAGGCTGGAGTGCAATGGCATGATCTCAGCTCACTGCAACTACTGCCTCCCAGGTTCAAGCGATTCTCTTGCCTCAACCTCCTTAATAGCTGAGATTACAGGTGCCCACCACCATGCTTGGCTAATTTTTCTATTTTTAGTAGAGACAGAGTTTCACCATATTGGTCAGGCTAGTCTCGAACTCCTGACCTCATGATCCATCCACCTCGGCCTCCCAAAGTGCTGGGATTACAAGTGTGAGCCACCGCACCAGGCCTGCTGTGAAACTTTTGAGTCAACTTCCCAACACCTTTACTATAAAGTCCCTTTGTACAGTCTCTGTTTTCTGCAAAAAAGGAATCCTGTGATCAATCCCATGTGACCCTCCTTGAGGCAGTTGGAAACCTAAGAACCACCACTTAAAAGTTCACCCATTTATCATGAACATCATATATGAACAAGTATGCCCTCTGAGCACTTTTCAGTAGTTTTTGAAATCACTATTTGTGTGGTTTTTCTGTGATCTGTCACATTGGAAATAAGACTTCAAATTAGGTTTGTTTCAACTGATTTCTTATTTACTAACCCATATGGTATAAACAACATGTATTTGAAGAAACGTAGACTAACTGATATTTCACATTTTATAATTCTGTCCCATTTATAATGAACACACCACTATGTAAATTTTAGTGTGCCCTCTTTTTCTCCTTTTTGAAACTGGGCCAATATTTTATGTCTCTGTTGATGTGGCTGTTTTACTTTCTCCATGACTTCTCAAATATTTTAGAAAATCTGTGACTGCAATTATGTCTTTGAAAAAAACAAGAAAACAAAACAAAATTTAAACACTGCTTACAACTCATTTTCCTGGAAATCATCTTAGATTGGCTAACACATTTAATTTTTCCTCAAACACTTTTCTTTATACTGCTATTCCTACATTGAACACTATAACTTTTCTTAGAAAAAATGGATTTCTAGGGGAAGCTGGTTGTGTAGGAGTTTGCAGTCACCATTCTGTTTCCCAAGGAGTGGCCCTATCTGTCCTTTCTTTGTTGTTCTAACCACAGTTGAGTCGTATAGACATTTTGGAGGTTAGCTTTCACATTTTGTGATGAATAGATCTAATCTTTTTGCTTTTAAAGCCCCTTAGAATCAAGAAAACCTTAAAAATAACAAATAATTGCTAACAACCTAGCAATAAGTTCCAAACTGAGGTTTGCTGTCACATTCATCATGCATGCCAAGGGAATCCTTTAGGAATGAAACTTGAATTACTTCAGTTAAGGAGAGGAAATAGAAATATGAAACTGTATCACTGGACAATCATGCCAGTACTTAATCTTCTCAATGTTAGAATGGAAACATGGCTGGAAATTAGTTGTTTTATTTTATTTTTCTACTAAATCCAATGTTATCAATAAGTGGTTTTCTTGTTCTGAATTTCATGGTTTAGCAATCTTTAGTGCCAGAATTATTTTTCCTTAGGAGTGTGGACATAGGTGCTATTATTAATTTGTTAAATATTAAAGGTAATTTTAGCCCATTTAAAAAAGATAACGTTTGGAAAACCACAGCATTTCAATCTGTTAGTAAATTTTTGTCCTGTGAAACTATAACTGAATAAATGGGCATAGCAATCCTAAAAGTGTTGATTATGTTCTACAAAAGGCTTTCCTTTGTGGAAATAATGAAAACAAACCTGGACCTAACTAGAATCTGAGAACTCTATCACTTATATGTCTTTCCTGAGTAATCAAGTGAACGATTCCTTTATGCCCTTGGATGAAGCATCTAGTATATTCCTCAAAGCAGTTGAAAAAATTTGCATCCTTATGAGATTTTTATGAGGCTCTGGCCTATGACATGGCCAGCTCCGGCAGTTGAATAGTGAGAAAATGGACTTAACTAACATCACAGCGATTATTGAAATACAGATAGCCACATAACCTTGACACTTGGAACATTTCTGCCCAACTAAACTTCAGCAGCAATTTATTCAGAGAACAATTTAAAGTAAATACATATAAAAGAGAGATAATTCTATACGTAAGCTAATATTTTCATTTGGTCTTCATAGTAGCTGTTGTCTTAAATACATACACAAGGAGGAAAAGTCAAATCAGAAAGTCTTTCTTAAGAAGCAATTAAATTGCACTTTGGGAGGCCGAGGTGGGCAGATCACAAGGTCAGGAGATCGAGACCATCCTGGCTAACACAGTGAAACCACGTCTCTACTAAAAGTACAAAAAATTAGCTGGGCATGGTGGCGGGCGCCTGTAGTCCCAGCTACTCGGGAGGCTGAGGCAGGAGGACGGCAGGAACCCGGGAGTCGGAGCTTGCAGTGAGCCGAGATCAAGCCACTGCACTCCAGCCTGGGCGACAAAGCAAGACTCTGTCTCAAAAAAAAAAAAAAAAAAGAAGCAATTAAATTAGATATATGAAATGGAAGAACCCTAGTTATAAGGGAAAAGCCCTATCTCTATTCCAAAAACAAATTTGCAGTTTCTCCCATGAGCCTGCACACCTATCTGATTCTGTGAAGGTCACCTGCTTCTGAAACCCTGTCACATTTTGGTGACTTCTTTAGTTTTCTTTTTGACAAATATTACATTAGTAAAGTTTCAACTTGGATCATATGATAATTGAGCAATGCAAGAACTTGTATTTTTAAGGGAAACTAACACATAAAACATCCATAATAAAAAACAAACTCTACATTTGGTTGCTGATGTGATTACAGAATTTAGTTCTGCATCTTGATGAAATAATTTTGACAATCCAATTTGTAATCCTAAAATGTCATTGTGGAGGTACAGACGTTTGGAATTGCATGTGTGTGCATATGTGTGTGTTTGTGAGCTTTTGTCTACAGTGTCAAAAAAAAGAAAGAAAATAAAATTCATCTCTGATTTTCAAAAGTCATTTTGCCTGTCAAATTTTATTTGGCCTGCCTGAGTCTTAATGGTGCCACATTCACTCTCTGGTTATTGATATGAAGCATAAATCAATATTCTCAGGAAACTGCCAACAGTATTTCCATAAGCACTATTTTCACAGACATAGTAAGTAAAGCAAGCAGCAAACTTAGGGAAATTATATTCCTTTGCATAATCTTTCTTAAGGCCTAACAAGAATATTATCCCAACATTTCCAGTAAGGTTCATTGTTGCCTGTTGCAATTTTGTATTTTTTTCTATTACCAGGTGATTGTTTCTTATTAGCCTATTTTACAGTCTCTCTATTTAGAGAAAGAAGATCTCATCCTGATTTTTACAACTGGCAGAGTTGTGCAGCTCGTCTTCATCAGCTTGGCGCCTGCCGTCGACGAGTGTGGCAAACTGAGCTGAAATGTATAGTGTAGAACGACCATGGAGTGGCACACGGACAGAATTCGCTTAAACGTTACTTTGCTTAAATTCCTCAGACTAGTGTTCTCACTCTATTGCAGAGGAGTTCTATTATTCCTAAATGAGGTTTTAATCATAATTTCTATTTTTGAAAAAATTCAAAGTTTGCTTTAAAATAAAAGTAACAGGCCGGGCACGGTGGCTCATGCTTGTAATCCCAGCACTTTGGGAGGCTGAGGAGGGCAGATCATGAGGTCAGGAGATCGAGACCATCTTGGCTAACACGGTGAAAACCCATCTCTACTAAAAATACAAAAAAATTAGCCAGGCATGGTGGCACACACTTGTAGTCCCAGCTACTCAGAAGGCTGAGGCAGGAGAATCGCTTGAACCTGGGAAGTGGAGGTTGCAGTGAACTGAGATCGCGCCACTGCACTCTAGGGTGAGCGACAGAGCAAGACTCCATCTCAAAAAAAAAAAAATGAATAAATAATAATAATAAGATAAAAGTAACAGCAGAACATGTCATGAGTACCAGATCATTTAACCAAGTAAAATGGAAATAAATCTTTAGGACAAAACAGACAAAGCATAGAGGGTAACATTCAGGTACCCCCGAATCCTGCAACGATGGGTGCTTAGGATGAGTTGTTCCATTTCTCAAGCAAGGTTCACTGTCGTGTTCGCACATGGCATTTTATCAAAGGTTTCCACCTACCAACGCAGAAATTCAAATCATGCTTTTGCGCAACGAGAGCTCAGTTCTTACCATCACCCCCTCTTCTAGCTGTTGGAGGTGGGAACCCGGGAGACCAGTGCCTTTCTGAGGCTGCCCTGATAGCCCAGATAGTGGCTGAGGCCAGCAGCATCTGCAGGCTGGCTTCTAGTGTTCATGGTTTCCTTGTGGCTTGGTCCCCAGCAAACTTTTCTGACCATTTCACCCATTAACTTTGGTAGCGGATCGATGCATGAGCTAAAGGTGGATTCTTAATTCACTTCATTTTCTGAAACATGGGAAGTTCAGTATAGAGTTAAAGGGAGATTTTACCTGTGATTGAACATCGGTTTATGTTAGCACTTTACAGAGTTCATAAATTTACAAAAGGAATTAAATAACATCACTATAATTAACATTCAAGCACTACTTATCTTTGGACTTACATTTCTGGATTCACAGTGTTCCCAGGGATTTGAAGTCCTAGAAAAAAGTTGAGCTCTGACACTCTGGCTTGTCATTGAATGGTAGGTGTCACCCTAGCAAAGTCTGATGCTGACATTTTAACAGACAACTGTGGATTTGACTTAATGGTGAGTCTGTCTTTGTTTTATCACAGATTCTACATCTCCTGCAAGACTAAGTTGAAAATATTGCCTGTTTATATTGTTCATGCTTATCTTTTAGAATCCATGTAATAAGTGAGTTTGGATCTAAAACAACCACTGATCACAGTCATGGTTCTTAGAACAGTTATGTGGATTCCGATCTATTTTCATCTTTGTTTTAACTCATTGTGCATACGTTTTTATGTAGATGGTTTCAGTTCCTTACTGGGGAGAATGTTTGTGATACACGTTATAAATAAATATTCCGAAATTTAATTTCTAAAAAACTAGAATTAAAAATTAAGATAGCTAAGATTCTTTTATTATAGATAGGGACCCCAAACCCCCAGATCATGGACTGGTACTAGTTCCTGGCCTGTCAGGAACTGGTCTGCATAGCAGGAGGTGAACTGTGGGTGAGTGACAGAAACTTCATCTGTATTTACAGCTGCTCCCCATCACCCGCATTACTGCCTGAGCTCCACCTCCTGTTAGAACAGTGGCAGCATTAGATTCTCATAGAAGAGTAAACCCTATTATGAACTGTGCATGTGGGGGATCTAGGTTGCCCACTCCTTAGGAGAATCTAATGACTGATGATCTGTCACTGCCTCCCATCACTCCTAGTTGGGACTATCTAGTTGCAGGAAAATGAGCTCTGGGCTCCCACTGAGTCTACATGATGGTGAGTTGTATAATTATTTCATTATATATTATAATGCAAGAATAATAGAAATAAAGTGCACGATAAATATAATGCACTTGAATCATCCTGAAACTATTCCCCACCCACTACCCCCAACCCCTGGTTCATGGAAAAATTGTCTTCCACAAAACCAGTCTCTGGTGTCCACAAGGTTGAGGGCTGCTGTTACAAAGAGACAACCAATGCTGTACTAATAGTTACATAAATTTGTCTTAGATCCATAATATGGAATGTTATGAAGCCTTTTAAAGGAGAGCTTTCAATAATTTTAATATTATGGTAATAGGACCACAATACAATATCTAATTAAAAAATAATACCCATGCAGAGTATGACTTGAAATCTATTTTGAAAATATATTTTACATAAATGGAAAGATAAGAAAATACCTCTTGAAATGTTAATAATAACTTCTGGGTAGCGAGGCTATAGATTAATATTTATCTTAAAATGTTCTATATTTCTAAACATTAAACAATGTTTATAGTCATAAAAAATTAATAATCTGAGAGCACTTTATGTCAGGAGTTTGATTTCCATTCATAGTCAGAAAAAATTAATAATCTGAGAACACTTTATGTCAGGAGTTTGATTTCCATTCATAGTCAGAAAAAATTAATAATCTGAGAACACTTTATGGCAGGAGTTTGATTTCCGTTCACCAATTGCTAATGAAATAGTATGTGAAGGTTTTCTAAGCTTCATCCTGGTTATAAGGCCTCCTTGTAACCTCAGGATTTTGTTTCTAGGAATATTTTGAAATGAAAGGAAATTTTAATCTCTTCAATGGGTAGTCAAATGGTATACATGGATTGGAATGAATGTTGTTTAAACTTAAAATAGTACAAATATATCTCTTATTAAGACAGACTATTATGCTTATAGAGGCTTCTGGTACTGATCATGACAATAGGCTCCAGTTTTCAAATGAGGTCAAAGATTTTGTGAAATATAGATGCTTTATCATGTCAAAAAGGATCAATGGCTATATCATTTACTTTGGGTAAAATAGTTACAGCGTTTAATTTATCCCTGCCCATAGAGAATACGTAGCCATATTCCAATTCTGCAAGCGCTTACTGAGGAGAGAAAGGAGGAGTATGATACAATATACACATCCTTCACAAGTTTTTCCTTGGGCGGGTGTGTTATTAAGGTCTCAGCAGGAAGCAGGTGGCACCTACAAGTTGGGTAAATTCAGGGTGATGTAGAAAATGACTCTTGATGAAACTGTGGGTAGAGTACAGAAAATCAGAGGGGTGGGGGCACTGGGAGCCGTTGATGGGAAGCGGAGAGGGAGCTCTTCCTCCTCCTCCACTTTGGGCTGGAACCAGCACAGGGAGGTAAAGCCGGCTAGACCTTGGAGCATGTGTGGGGAGGAATATCCAACAGACCTCTTCAGTAGAGCCCTGAAGCCAGCTCTCAGGAAATGCAACTGGCAGAATAAATATCGTGATTTCACTTCCTTTCAGTTCTCTGCCTGATCTCCCTATTGACCTGAGCCAACTAGAAGCTAGTCCAGACAGGGAAAGTGAAAAAGGGCAGAGTGGATCTGAAGGGGAAAGCTGAGGTCACAATGGGAATCTCACAATGGGAACATGGATTAACATAAGTCATCTGGTGAAATAAATATCTCAGTCACTAATGCAGGCAAAAAAAAGTTTTTTTCTTCTTCCTCAAGACATAGTCCAGGGAAGGTCACTGGAGAGAAGGCAGGTGGCAGCTACTCTTTATCCGGTGGCTCTACCACTTCTCAAGGCCTTAGATGGGCTTTCATACTTTGCATTTAACCAGAAGAAAGTGAAGAGTGAGTGTGGGAGTTAATGTGGGAACTTTCCCTGGATTGAGCATGGCTGCAGTACACATCGTATCTGCCCACATTCCACCAGGCAGTGCTCATGGACACACCTACCCACAGGGTGGCCTGGGGATGGACATCAGCTGTGAGCAGAGGCCAGAGAGCCTGTTCCCTAAACGTCCAGACAGTCTGCAACAGTAGGACTGGAAGACCATGACAAGTTCATACACGCAAACCAAAATATCATCACAATCCACCAGAATAAGCAAAATCCTATAGAAGGAACACTCACATTTATCTAGGTGGATAGGCAAGGCATATGAACATTAGGATGAATCTTAGTAGAAAACAAAAACTTCATCAGGGAAAACATTCAAGACTTGTCTTAGGCTAGTGTCCTCTAAACACTTTTGGTCCCACATCTGCATTAGTAGAAAAATTTAGAATCCCCATGGATGTGTATGTGTGTTTATGTGTTTCTGCATAATACATGAGATGTGACTATCTATCTATCCTAAATAAAAAAAGTGAAAATGAATACAATTGAAAGTGATCGTATTCTCTTTCTACTCTGCTGCTTTAATCTCATGAGTGTCCCATAGTGCTTGAACACCCCACTTTTGAGATCACGGTTTATTGATAAAGACAAAAAAACCCCACTAAGATGTATAGCAATGAACAAGTAGAATTTGAAATTAAAAACACAATACCATTTACATTAGCACCTCCCCAAATAAAATACTTAGGTAAAACTCTAACACAATAGGTACAAGATCTATATAAGAAAAACTACAAACTCTCATCAAAGACATTAATTAAGAACTAAATACACTTTGGGAGGCTGAGGCGGGCAGATCACCTGAGGTCAGGAGTTCGAGACCAGCCTGGCAAACATGGCAAAACACCGTCTCTACTAAAAGTACAAAAATTAGCCAGGCGTGGTGGTGGGCACCTGTAATCCCAGTTACTCAGGAGACTGAGGCAAGAGAATAGTTTGAACCCAGGAGGCGGAGGTTGCAGTGAGCCGAGATCGCGCCATTGCACTTCAGCCTGGGCAACAAGAACAAGACTCCATCTCAAAAGAAAAAACAAAAAATGAAACAAACAAACAAACAAAAGGAACTAAATAAATTAAATAGGGAGGTATTCTATGTTTATGAATAGAAAAACTCAACAGATCAGTTCTTCCCAGTTTGATTTATAGATTCAATTAAACACTGATCAAAATTTTAGTAAGTTACTGTGTAGATATCAAAAACTGATTTTAAAGTTTATTTGAAGAGACAAAAGATTAAGAATAGCCAATCCAGTATTGAAGAAGAAAAGCAAAGCTGGAGGACTGACATTACATGACTTCAAGACAATGTGGTATTGGTAAAATAATAAATAAATAGATTAATAGAGCAGAATAGAGAGCCCACATGAATATAGTCAGAAAATAAAATATGGAAGATATACAGATGGCAAATAAGCTTATACAGTGATGCTCTACCTCCTAGGTTATTAGAAAAATGCAAATTAAAACAACAACAGCAAGACACTACTTCAGACCAATGTACAACCAAAACCCAGAACACTCACAGCAGGTGTGGAACTGCAGGAACTCTCATTCATTGCTGGTGGGAATGCAAAATGGTACAGCCACTTGGGAGGACAGATTGGCAGTTCTTTATAAAATCAAACATACTATTACCTCACGATCCATCAGTCATGCTCCTTGGTATTTACCCAAAGGAGTTGAAAACATGTCCACACAAAAACCTGCACACAAATGTTTACAGTAGCTTTATTCACAATTGCCCAAACTTGAAAACAATCAAGATGTCTCCAGTAGGTAAGTGAATACATAAACTTGGGTATATCCAGACAATGGAACTTTGGTCAGCACTTGAAAAAATGAGCAATCAAGCCACAAAAAGACATAAGGAAACTTAAAAACATATTACTTAAGTGAAAAATCATCAATCCAAAAAGGCTACCTACTGTATGGTTCCAATTATATCACGTCCTGGAAAAGATGAAACTATGGAGACAGTAGCAAGGTCAGTGGTTGTCAGGGGTTGGGGGAAGGGAGGGATGAGTTGGGGGAGCTCAGGTGATTTTTAGGGCAGTGAAATTATTCTGCATGAATTGATAATGATGAATACATGTCATGATATATTTATCAAAATCCATAGTATATACACCACCAAGAGTGAGCCCTGATGTAGCTGTGGACTCTAGGTGACTGATGTAACAATATGGGTTCATTGATTGTAACTAATGAACCACTCTGGTGGGGGATGCTCATAATGGGGGAGGCTGTGCATGTGGGGGTGTATTAGTTCATTTTCATACTGCTATGAAGAAATACCCAAGACTGGGTAATTTTTATATATATAAAGAGGTTTAATGGACTCACAGTCCCACATGGCTGGGGAGGCCTTAAAATCATGGTGGAAGGCAAAGGAAGAGCAAAGGCATGTTTTACATGGCAGCAGGCAAGAGAGTGTGTGCAGGGGAACTGCCCTTTATAAAACCATCAGATCTCCTGAGACTTATTCACTATCACAGGAACAGCATGGGAAAACCCACCCCCGTGAACCTTACACCAGGTTCCTCCAATGATATGTGGGAATTATGGGAGCTAAAATTCAAGATGAGATTTGGACAGGGACACAGCCAAACCATATCAGGGGGGTAGGAGGTATATGGAAAATCTCTATATTTTCAATTTTGCTGTGAAATTATTACTGCTGCAATAAATAAAGTGTAAGCATAACCAACCAAAAAAATAAAACAAAACAAAAACCCCACAAAGGTATGAGAGTAGAGACAGGAGAGCATGTTCTGGGGAGTAGCTATTGGAAGCAGAGCCAGATGGTGTGGGGATGCTGTCACGTGCTCCTGCCCTTATACACCAAGATCTGCCTCATGGCCCCTGTGCCATAGAGCTCTGCCCATCCGTTTCAATAAATACAGGCAATGAAGATTTCACCAGGAAAAGAGAGGGAGGGGGAACTGTGGATGAGTACTCTGAGTCACCTTTACAAAATGAGCAACACAATGTGAGTATTTAGTTCTAGGGCCTCTGTTCTCTCACCAGTCTGTTGTAAAGGGCCTACCTCATGGGATTGTTTGAATCTACCATTAGATGAGATGGTGCATATGAAATGTTTGAAAAGCACCTGCCCTCAGTAGGTCCTCCATGAAGGTTAGTTATGATCATTATTAGTAAAATTCCAATCTGGCTGGAGCACAGAATATGTGCCATCTGTGGTGGGAGAAAACCCAGACATGCCAGACTGTAGAAGGCTTTGCTGTGGGGTGGGACCAGGGAGAAGAGGAGGAGAGGTGTTTGGCCTGGCATGAGGAGGGCTCGTCTGGAAGGGCTGGCAGGGGGAGCTGAGGAGGGCTGGCAGGGCTGTGGGGAGGCAGGATGGGAGTGGGTGAGGCTGGAGAGGTGCTGTGGGATGGTATGGCAGTGAGAGGGAGGCTGTGATCCCAGTGGAATGGGAACATGAGGGAGAGAGAGGAGGCAGAGGAGGATGGACTCTCATCTTGAGTCACTGCTGATTACCATGCTTTTAACTAACGGAGAAGTCAAGGAGACCACTGGCAAAGAAGGTAATGAGTTTGATCTGGGCTTCATCAAGTTCTGCTGTCCTGAGAAAGAATTTTCCAAATGCAGTCCCTGAACTGCAAACCAAATCCACATCCTCTAGTGGTTGCTCCTGGCAGAATGTCCCATACCCTACAGCTCTAAATTGAGGGCCTAGCACATGCTGGGTCACACACAGAATGGTCAGGGAAACCCAGGAGTGGCTTTATGGTGTGTGCATTGTTCAGTGCTGCAGGGTCCATCCCCAGGCAATTTTCATTTACTCCTCCTGACCTTTACCTGAGCTGGGCTAAGTTATCATAAAGTTGGGGAGACATGCAACATGCCCAGGCCTGCTGCACTCAGACAATGGGCCCAGATCTTTCTCTCTAATGGTACGGTAGCAGATGCTCTGAAATCAGCATTTGATGAAATGTGTTGTTATTAAGGCAGAGAAGGTTCCTCTAGTAAATGCAGATTATCATGCACACCCTTGAGGCTTTTTAACAATAGCCACATAGGGTACTTTCTCAGTAGATTTAGTAGTAATTATAGAGCCCTAGATAGAGCCCTAGAAAAATGGGTTACCAACAGTTTAAAATGAAGGATTTATTTCTATAGTGTCTCATGTGGATCCAAATTAGTATTCTGTGCTCATCTTGGGCATGGAGAGAGTCGAAGTCTTTCATGTGTAAAACCTGATGATCAAGAGCAGATCTTTTACTAGCCCCGGCATCGGATGGAAAGGAGGCTTCACATATGGTTTCATCACTGTAAGACCATGGGAAAAAGATCTTCACTGCCTTTTATTTCATTACAGCACCGTGACATTTTTGACACTTTTTAAAATTAAAATAGAAATGTTTTAAGGTTCAAGCTGTCATTAAACCATATGTTTTATTTGGATGAAATGTTATCTTTTCAGTGGGAAAAAAACACTTTCAGAAATTTCACCCCCGATCCTAGATTGATAAAGTTAGTAGGAAAACAGTCAGTCATCTTTGAATAATTGACTTTATTCAAAATAAGCTTCTGGAATGTTTGGGTAAGGGGAAGGTTGGACTATGTCTACTATCCAAATTAAAGTTAAAACTGTTGTTCCAGTCCCTCAAAATAATGTTTTCTTTTAAAAACAAAACAAAACAACAACAGCAATAAAAAACGCCACATTG
Source organism: Homo sapiens (assembly GCF_000001405.40). Classification (NCBI taxonomy): domain Eukaryota; kingdom Metazoa; phylum Chordata; class Mammalia; order Primates; family Hominidae; genus Homo; species Homo sapiens. Next base: position 45,818 of record NW_018654712.1, read on the forward strand.
TCACTGCCGTGATGCTTCGTGAATCTCCAGAGTCCCGATGTCTCAGAATGGCTAACATCTAAAATGTGATGAACTCCATATTGCTGGCCATATGAAGGTGTCCTAGTATGCCCAGATTTCCATAACAAAATGCTATAGACCAGGTGAGTGAAACAACAAAAATCTAACAAAAATATTAGAGGCTGGAAGTCCCAGATCAGGGGCTCAGCATAGTTGGCTGCTGGGGAGGGTTCTCTTTCTGGCTTTCAGACAGTCAATTTTTGGCTGTGTCTTCACATGATGGAGAGAGACAGCAAAAAAGCTCTCTGGTCTCTTCAAGTAAGGACACCAGTTCCGTCAAGAAGACCGCACTCTCAGGACCTTATCTAATATTAATTACCTCCCAAAGGCCCAATCTCCAAATACCATCACATTTGTAGTTAGGACTTCAACATATATGTTTGGGTGGAAAGCAATTCTGCCCATAGCATTTGACCCTTGGTCCACCAAAATGCATGTCCTTCTCATCTGCACCATACATTCATTCCATTTCAACAGACCCCAAGGTTTTAACATGTTCTAGCGTCAACTCTAAAGTCTAAGGTCCATCTAAATACCTAAATCGTATGGGTGAGACTCCACATACAATTCATTCTATAGAAAACTTTCTCTCCAGCTGTGAACATGTGAAACCTTACACATTATGTGCTTCCAAAATACAATGATGAGCCAGGCATAGGCTAGGTATTTTCATTCCAAATGAGAGTAGGAAAGAAGGAAGGAGCGATGGGTCCCAGGCAAGTCTAAAACAATAAGGCAAATTCTGTCAGATTTTAAGACTTGAGGGTGATCCTCCCTGGTTCAATATTCTGTCCTCTAGGTCCACTAGCACTGCAGGTGAGGTCCTGCCCCCAAGGCTCTGCTGGGGAATCCCACACCCACAGCTACAGGTGAAAGCACTGAGCCAGGTGCCCTGATGATCTCTGAATCACCTTCCAGGTCATTTGTTTCTCAACACGAATGTCCTTCCTGGCTTGTAGATGCTGTCCTTTCCTCACGTCCTCATGTGGCTGAGAAACAGAGAGCCAGAGAGCCAGCCAGAAAGAGACAAAGAGAGAGAGAGAGCACTAATCAGAGAGACAGCTCTCTCATGTCTCTTCTGACAAGGACACAAATCGCATCATAAAGGCTACACCTTCATGACCTCATCTTTGTCTAATCACCTCCCAAAGGCTCCATATCCAAATATCCTCACATCTGGAGTTAGGATTTCAACATATGAATGGTGGGAGGGGGCATAATTTAGTTCATAGCAGATGAAATAAAAATTGTTTTTTAAACTGGAAATTTGTCATCATGCAAACAGACACTCTGAAGTCTGCCTGGATACACTTTTTGGTTGTCTTTAATGGACTGTGAATGAGAGGTCTCCAGAGTGTGACTAGATCTTTATAAAGTGCTTCCTTCATGGGAGAACACTGAGCACAGAGACAGGCTTATCTACAGAGACTTGAATCTGAATCTGGGTTGAAACAGTTCAGATTTACAAATAATATATAATATTTTATCCCTACAGCATAAATATTACCACGTGTGATATTTTCTAATCTGTCTCCTTTCACAATCTATTAAGCAGTATGGATCTTGGAAGGAATCGAAACCAATGACATGCAGAAATGACTAAGTCATTTGAGATGAAACCATATAAAATGCTTAACTAATTCCATTGAGCTTTTCCCCTCCTATTGAGCATAAAAGTATCACAGAGTAAAAAAACATATTTATTAAATGTTCAAAAAGTTCCTATTTGTGACTTTGGCAATGGGGTAAACCGTATGGGATATTATCCTCTTCCCTAAGAACCTTTTATTCTAATATGCTGGTGATAAAAGTTTAATGTGCAACAGAAAACAATAAAGCTGAATGTTTGTAATTTATAACTGAAGTGGATGAATTAATAATTTGGCTTTAATCTATATCATAGACACTGGGCAGGAGGAAGGATCTGCCTGTTAGACCTGTAAGAGCCCATCACCATATTTTTCTAGAGTAAATGTTAGGAAACTAGAAATAGTTTTGTTTTTGTTTTGTTTTGTTTTTGTTTTTTTTGAAATGGAGTCTTGCTCTGTGTCCCAGGCTGAAGTACAGTAGCACGATCTCGGCTCACTGCAACCTCTGCCTCCTGGGTTCAAGTGATTCTCCTGCCTTCGCCTCCTGAGTAGCTGGGATTACAGGCACATGCCACCATGCCTGGCTAATTTCTGTATTTTTAGTAGAGACAGGGTTTCACCATGTTGGTCAGGCTGGTCTCGAACTCCTGACCTTGTGATCCACCTGGCTTGGCCTCCCAAAGTGCTGGAATTACAGGCATAAGCCACCATGCCTGGCCTAGAAATAGTTTTAAATAGTATTATTTAACAGCTATTAACATATATTTATAATAAATTGCAGTACAATTAGAATGTGTATTGTAATTTAATGTATAATACTATTAACAATAATAGTAATAATTATAATGGAAGAGCTTCTGCAGGCAGCAGAGGGATCAGGAGAAGCCAGCGTTGGGGTTTTGGGGCTGTTGGGCTCAGACGGATGGGGAGCTGGTGGCTCTTTCTCAGGCACTTTCATGCCCTTCTTACCTGTATACAGAATGACAGTGTTAAATACTTAATCATCTTATCTGTGGCTTGGTACTCACTGGAAAGAGGATTGTCTTGGAGAGTGGCCCTTCCATCCCGTTTCCCTTTCTTTGATGTCATGAAGAGCAGTGGGTCTGTCCTTCATGGGCGGCAAACTCTGTCTGTGCCCTAGACCTCGCCCCTCTCTCCTTGTCAAGAACATTTCTCCAACAACATTTCTTCTCCTTCCCGGGTCTCCCTTCTCTTACTCTCTTCTGCATTGTTCCATCCGCAAGCATCCATGCTAATGCCACAGCCATGCTGCCTTCATGTGAGCAAATAATTCTTGACATACAGTCTTTTCATTTCCTTACTTCAAAGCATGCTATGTTGTGGAAGAAATGTCTAGTGATTCAGGATGCCAGAACTACCTATCTGTCTATCTGTCTATCTATCTATCATCTATCTATCTATCTATCTATCTATCTATCTATCTATCATCTATCTATCTATCTATCTAATCTTTCTTCTATGTATCTATCTATCTATCACCTATCTATCTTCTATCTGTCTATCAATCTATCTATCTGAATTTCTACCTCAGAAAATTAAACAGTTATAATTTTGGACAAATTCACTTTCAAACTTTTCCACATATATTCAATGTATATACTTATAATAATATATAAATATTATTACTTTTGGAGAAATTGGGACAATAGAGGTACTTTAAATACTCTTTGATCACTCCCAAAAATCTGGTTCACTCTACCTGTTTCCAAATGTATCTACCATTACAGGTAGCCACACCATTTTTAATGCTTTTATATACACATTCATGAAAAATTGAGAGCATTGATTTGTGTTTTTTTTTTTTTTTCTTTTTCTTTTTTTTTTTTTTTGGACGGAGTCTCGCTCTTTTTCCAGACTGGAGTGCAGTGGCATCATCTCGGCTCACTACAACCTCCACTTCCTGAGTTCAAGTGATTCTCCTGCCTCAGCGACCCGAGTAGCTGGAATGACAGGCACGCGCCACCACGCCCAGCCAAATTTTGTATTTTTAGTAGAGACACGGTTTCACCATGTTGGCCAAGATGGTCTCAATCTCTTGACCTCCTGATCATCCTGCCTCGGCCTCCCAAAGTGCTGGGATTACAGGCATGAGCCACCACGCCCAGCCTGATTTGTGTTTTTGAACATAAACAGCGTTACACTATATTTATGACTGCAGTTTGCTTTTGCATACAATGGTATGCTTTTAAAGATCTTTCCATATTTGTAACATATGAATCTTATGTCTTCTTTTATCTTATGAATATATCACCCTCTATTCACCCTTCTCCCAAAATGATTATTCAATCACTTCATATATATTTTTTCAGATAATACAGATTTGAATATTTCTGTAATATAGCCAAAGCAGAATTGATGGATTATAGGGAATGTACAACTGTAATTTTAGTAGAAACTGCCAGAGTATTTCCAAGGTGGCTGGATTTGTGTTTATGCTTCAATATTATTGGTAACAGACAACCTCAAAGCATGAGACACTTATAAGAGCACACGTGAATTGCCATGCTGGCGCATCTGCAGGTTGGCAGCAGTGAGGAGTCTTGGCTGTGCATGGATGGATTCAGATTTGCTTCAGCGTCTACACTTTGTGGTTCAGAATTCACTGGTCATGGCCACATAACAGGCTGTTCTTGTGGACTCTCCTACACGTGGCAGAGGGGCAGGGAGACTGTCAATGTCCCTGTGACTTGAGCCTGATTCCAATCAGGAGATAAGATACATGGCCCGGTCCAACACCAGTGGGAAGGAGCAAAACACTCATCAATTGGCAAAGGACAGTGGTGAGTGGTTCTGATGGGCAGGGGTGCAGACCCACATGCCCTGTGGTTGTGAAACCTGTCCTCCCAGCCGCACCGTGGGAGCAGCTACTTCCTGTAACGCACAGTGGTGTCAACGTGACTCCTCTATTGCAATATGATGAGGGGAAATGCACCCTTCCTCATTATAGTTAATGCTTCTCTGCTTGCTAATGAGGCTGGATTTCCTTCTATATTTACATTGGTCATGTGTGCATTGGGTGTATGCGCCTTATTATTCTGCAAATTTGTTAGAAAGTGTATTTTGTCCGTTTTTCCTATGGGCGTGTGCCCATCTACTTATGGTGAGAGGTATATTTCCTAAGCTATTAGTCAATTGAGGGCACATTCTTTGTTACGCTTGAAACATCCCTAACCTCTCCCCAGCTGTTCCTTGACTTTAAGGTGTCTTGTCACAGAGGAATTTTTAATTTTGATGTGGTTATAATTTTTTATCTTTCTTTTTTTTTTTAGAACTTGATTGAAAGATCTCTTCAATCTATGACTGTGAAGATAATGTTTTATTTGCTTGTATGTATTTCAGGCTTGTTTTTTCGGATCTGGGACTCAGTGCTTCCCTTCCATTTTATTTGTGGTATGAAACAGGTGGGCTTTAGGATGATGGATGGCTGGCTGTCCCTGCTTCCTCTGCTGATGTGCACTACCCAGTCTTTCTGTTCCTCTTGTGCTTTGAAATGGTGATTACCTCCAACCCCAGCTTTGGATATGTTTGGGTCCTCTTGTCCTCTCTAGTCCCTTCTTTTCATGTGTCTATTAGCCCGCGAAATGTCATTGTTGCTATCTTAGTAGCTTGTTGATGTGCCTTGATAGCTGGTAGAACAAGTCACTCCCTCCCTGTCATCTTACTGTTCTAAAATTGGATTGGTGACTTCTGGCTTCTGCCAGGGAGATAAAAAGCTGGAAGGATTGTTGCTCCCACTCATAAATAAGGAAAAGCTAGATAATCTCACAAAACATAATTTTAGTGTTCCCGTCTCAGAACTGACGTCTTACGACAGACAACCAACTGACCTAAAATCTGCAGAAACACCGGTGCTTCCACAACAGTTTTTATTTGAAGAAAGGAGAAGAAAAAACAAATGAGATCTACATTATAGATACAGCATTGGCCTGACAATGAACAATTAAGTTGCTTCTCATTATTCATGGTACTTATGCTCTGTGGAGTCACTGTGAGCCCTGAATCAGATCTTCATTTTAGAAAAAGCATGCTCCAGGCCAGGCGCAGTGGCTCATACCTGTAATCCCAGCACTTTGGGAGGCCGAGGCGGGTGGATCACGAGGTCAGGAGATCGAGACCATCCTGGCTAATACGGTGAAACCCCGTCTCTACTAAAAATACAAAAAAATTAGCCGGGCGCGGTGGCGGGCACCTGTAGTCCCGGCTACTCGGGAGGCTGAGGCAGGAGAATGGCATGAACCTGGGAGGCAGAGCTTGCAGTGAGCCGAGATCAGGCCACTGCACTCCAGCCTGGGCAACAGTGCGAGACTCCATCTCAAAATAAATAAATAAATAAATAAATAAATAATAATAATAATAGAAAGAGCATGTTCCAGGTTCCTGGACTAGGGACAGAGTTGAGACAGATGTATGCAAATGTGTGTGCAGAGCAGCATGGTAGATTCAAAAACTGGCACACAGGAGAGATAGCTAGGGGTGCAGTGGGGTTCATGCCTGTTGCCTGGAGGGGAAGGGACAGCATTGGGCAGGGAGAGGCTGAGTTGCCGTGCAGCCCGGCGAAGGTCTTGGCAAACTCCACAGGGACTTGTGCATCTGAGACGATCTGAAAGTTTGTTCCGTGTTCTGGGGAGGTAGTCAGGTCTCTACAGCCCAGGCAATCCTCAAAGAAACCTGCCCATCCAAAAGTTAAGGAGCAATTTCTCCCCTTTAAACCCTTCAAGGTATTCTCCTCCAAAGTTAAGTGTTGGTTTGCTGAGGGTTAGCATTGAGAAGTGAAAGAACTCAGCTGGGTGTGGTGATTCACGCCTGTAATCCCAGCACTTTGGGAGGCCGAGATGGTTGGATCATCTGAGGTCAGGAGTTCGAGACCAGCCTGGCCAACATGGTGAAACCCTGTCTCTACTAAAAATACAAAACTTAGCCAGGTGTGGTGGCGGGCACCTGCAGTCCCAGTTACTCAAGAAGCTAAGACAGGAGAATTGCTTGAATCCAGGAGGCGGAGGTTGCAATGAGCTGAGATCACGCCATTGCACTCCAGCCTGGGCCACAGAGTAAGACTCCATCTCCAAAAAAAAAAAAAAAAGAGAGAAGAAAAAAGAAAAAAAAGAAGAAATAAAAGGACTCCCGTGTGGGAAGCACAGGATTAAGCTGACCTTGTAACAGCACGAGCTGCATAATGTGTGCGTGGAGACAGACAGACGCATTTGGTTGGTGTGCCTGCCTGATGCCCATGTTAGATCAGAGAACGGTGAATCAAGGGCATGGGTCTCACATGTATTTCATTACCCTTTTCTGCACTTTACCATTCATGGCTTGAGCACATTTGCTTTCTCGGATGAACTGTGCAGCTGCAGGTGTCCCTTGTCTTTCTCAGGTGACACTTCAGGAACCATGCCCAGAGGTGCCCCAGAAACTTCCAAGACGTCACCATCTAAGAAGGAAAAGTAAAGAAAAGAGACCAAGGACAATACATAGAAACTATTTCAGTGATATAAGAGCGGGTTTTTTTCCTATAAATCTTCCCACTCAAATTATTTACTGGACAGATGTCAGGTGTGCTGTCACGCATTGCTCTGTCTTTTCTGAATGGCCTCAGGATTGTATAATAAAAATGATTTTAAAATTTCAATGTGACAGAAACCTCAAGTTTACAATAATTCAGGAATTCACTGAAATGTGTTTCGATGGAGCCCCACATCCCCAAGCACTGTGCCCTCGGTGCAATGCTGGACCTTTCAAACATGGCTGGCCTTTGAGGGACCCTGCACCTGCTCACCTGTGCCCTGGGGGACTGGAACAGCAGCAAGGCCTTCCCTCACAGGCTGAAAATCAAGTTCACACTTTGGGGGAAATAAGAGAGAAAACCAATTTCAGAATGTCTCCTGCCATCCCCTTTATACAGTTTTAGATGGTAAAATCGTCTCTAGGAGTGTTTTCTGAATTTTAGTTGGTGAAGGTACCAGTAAGCCCGCTGTTCGTTGACACCTGGTGTGTGTCCAACACTGTTTTAAACCAAGGAGACCTGGGCTCTTTTAGGAATGGAGGAGGGCATTGTGGAGGGGGGTGACACACAGGAAGGGCACTGAACAAATAGGTTTCATCTCGTTTTCTGTGGTACTTATGCTCTAGAAGGCCACTGTGGACCTCAAATCAGTGCGTCCTGAGTCACTGCTCCTCGGAGAAGCATAGGGGTAAGTGCCTGTGACTCTCTGGTCACAACATGTTTGTCAACCTATTAATACATAACCTCAATTTATGTGTGTTTCTGTTTAAGGGTACCTCATTGAATATTGTTGATTCATTGACACAAAAATGTAAACATTATGCACCAAAGATGGCAGAAAGGGCCTGTCTTTATGGGATGAGCTGAAACAGGAAGTCAGAGTGAGGTCTTCGGCTTCGTCTGGGGACGTGCCAGTCAGGTGACTCACATTTGTCACTACTCTGCACATGAACATGTCCCCAAGTGTCAGGAAGGTGCCTGGAGTATTGATTTGAGGGTTAAAACAACTTCTAAAGAGCAGGCAAACCTGCCCACAGTTCGGATGGACTGTGTAATGGCAATCCAGGCGCAGACTGTGTTGCCACTGAGATCAGTTCTCTGGCATTTGAAACAGATAGAGACCATGCGGATATACAGCAGGTCCTCCAGTGATGCCGTTCTGCTCAACGTGGTTTCTTTACAATATTGATAAGAAACAAAATCCATCCCCGACCGGCGCTGTGTGTGGTTTGCAGGTTCTCCCTGGGTCGGCATGGGTTTTCTCTGAGTCGTTCGGTTCCCTCTCTAATTCCAAAGCTGTGCAGGTTCCGTTCATGGGAGTCTCATGGCCCCAGTGTGAGTGAGTGTCGGTGCTGGTGGTGACCCTGCCACGGGACGGCGTCTGTCCAGGCTGGTGTCAGCCTTGTACCTGAGCTGCCAGAACGGGCTCCTGCCACCCATGACCCTGAACTGGAACAAGCATGTAAACAATGATCTCACTTGTTTTTATTAATCTTTCTTAAATGTATGCATTGCTCACATTTATTTCAATGTTTAATATTAGACGTGTTTGGGGCTTTTACTTAGCCATTTGGTGATGTTTCTGTGACCAGAAACATGATCTTAGAAACTGAACTCTTGTTTATGTCACCTAGCCTATGGAAAAATTCGTTTCATTCTATGTTGTTTTGCTTAAAGTCGCAGTTTCCAAGATCCAATGGACAACGTTAAGCAACGCCTAACCATGCTGGGAATAACTGGCTTGTTTATTTTGAAATGTTGGTTCAAGTAAAACATTCTGTGTGTAGTTACACTTGGGGTGTCTGGGCCGCCGTTTTCTAGAGTATGTGCACATGGGGCTAAAGCAGTGGGTAGGACCCCGATCAACCTGTGGGGAGAGGAGCGCGTGTCCTGACCTTCTGAGGGCTGTGCTGAGGGACAACTGCACTGTCCCCGAAACAAGACACACGTTAAAGCCACAAGAGACAATAGGCACGATCTCTCTGAGCCCCCACATTTCAAATACTGCAATACGGTAAAGAGGTATGTGAGCTTCCCAAGCACTGAGAGTGCCACTGTGGGTTGGAAAGAAACGCCTCCTCCTTCATCCTGAGTGCAATGATGGTTTTTCTAGAGGGGGCTCCAGTGCCGGCCATGCTAGATCCACATTTGAGGGCTATGTTTAGTAATCCATTCGTCCTTCGCTCTGGACGACTCTCCATCTCATGTTTATTATTTTAAATAAATTAAATATTCTAAGAGTCCCCAAAGCAGCACATTCTTTTCTAAATTAATTCCACATAGGATTTATTACATAGAAACTTTAGCTTTTTATACTCTACCAGAAGAAAAGCAGCTAAATGTCTCTCCTATATATCAGGTCAGTAGCTTTTAGTTTTTATTGAATTTTTTAATCTTATCTTCTAAAATCAAAGCACTGGTGAAATCACCACCATTTAAATTGATTAATTGGAAGAGTTGCATTATGTAACATCAAAAAACATTAACACGAATTACTCTAACGATATCAGACAGGAACTCAGCATTCAAGATAATTCTGTAATTTTAAAAATATTAAAATAAAGTCTAATTCCTGGTAAATCTGTGCTGAAAGAGAAATTGTAGCAAACTCAGAATCAGTTTCTAATTTTTTTTTCTGTTTTCACACAAGCAGAAATGTGTGTCAAGTATGAAGACAGAAAAAAAAGCATTAAAAATGTTAGTCTACATTAAAAATGTAGTCATATTTGACAAATACATATCATGCACTTAAAGCATCTAAAGTCAAGTGAAATAATGCACGCACCCTTCTTGTTCAACATTCACTTCATAAAAGAGAGAGACTTGCAAACATAGAACCATTTATCTATTGAATACATGTTTTCTGGGAGATAAAATATAATTCTTACACAAGCACCAAAACATACATTGACAGTATGTGGTAATGTAAACATAACACTGATTACGTTAAGGTGGCCCAAGGCATAGGATCTTTGTAGAATTTGAGGCTGGTGAGGGTGTCCACTACCTATTACTGACAACTTGCATGGAGGAACAGGACCCAGGCGAGCTGTTCACAGAAATGCTGTGTGTGCTCCTGGCTGAGCTCTTCTGTCCCCTAATTTTAGGTTATTTTCCCTCACTATTTTCTCCATGATGGCCACATGTGCAGGGGAAGGAAAAACTTCCTGTATGTGGGGTTTCAAGGTGGATGGGTGAGCTAGGAGTTGTGGGAGGCCACTGTTAACTGAGGATGTGGATGGAGATGCAGAAACCCTGGAGGGCCCTCCTGCCCGCCCTGCACCGTTTGAGTTTGGCTTCAGGTTGGGGGGTGACTTAATAATTATGTGAAAATAGCAGCTGTACAATAATTGGGTAATTTCCCCTTAACTATGTTACTTCAGAGGCAGTAACTGAGGAGCAGTTCCTACAGCAGACATTCATAGTGTTACGGTTGGAATTGTGCACCCACCACCAGAAAGAAATGTCAGAATCCTAATGCCCGGGACCTCAGAATGTGACCTCATTTGGAAATAAAGTCTTTGCAGATGTGATGACTTAAGATGAGGTCACTGGGTTGTGTTCTAATACAATACAACAGATGCCCCTATGCACAGACACCCACACAGGGAGTGCTCCATGTGAAGACAGAGATTGGACTTGTCCTACCGCAAGTCAAGGAACACCTGGAGCCACCAGGATCTGGGAAAAGCAAGGATCCTCTGTTGAAGCCTTGGAGGGAGCTCAGTCTTGAGGACACCTTGGTTTTGGCCTTCACCCTCCAGCACTGTGACAGAATACATTTCTGTTATTTTAAACCACCAAGTTGGTGATAATTTGTTATGGCATCCCCAGAAAACAAACATAAACCACCAGGTCCACGGGAGCAACTGGGTTTATGCAAATTCAAGACTGAGTTGCGGGACAGAGTCTCCCAGGACAGCCGTCCACATGCGTCCACGTGAAGTCCCCTCAGGCTCTGCTGGCTGCCTCCTTCACAGTTCCCCGTTAAAAACACTCACTTTGTGATAAGATGCACTCCAGATGCATTCTACAAAAATAACTTTAGCAGTAATGGAATCGTTCATTATAAAGTAGGAAATGCAGAGATCATTTTGTTTTCTGGTATTAAGTGATCATGTTTATCAGTCGTAACTGAATTCAGGTCTTTGAAACCTGCCTATGCCTCAGTCTTTCCTAGATATTAGGCATGCCTTTGACAATACAAACCATTCTCAAGTTCTTCCATACATTTGTCACACGTTTGTAGCATTCCATGATCCAGATGGATTAAAAGTTCTCCAAGAGCATTCCTATCGAGTAACTCATTCTCTCAAGCGTTTAGCTTTATTCTTGTAAAAAAAAATTGCATACACATCAATTCTTTGGACCATGCTATGTGTATGAAAACAGTTTTAGTAGACTGGGAACTTGGGTTATGGCAGACACAGAAAATTACACATATTGGAACAAGCCATCTTGGTCCCTATTGAAATTCTCCTAAATGAATGCTCCCTGGGAACTCGTTTCCCAGGCTACTCTGTCATCTGTGCTGTAAGACTCTCGGCTCTTTGGGGACCTGAGCAGATCTTGTGGCTGAGATGATGGCTCACTGTTCTCGCATTGTTTCCTGAGCTGGGATGTTGAGCACTTTCCCAAGCAGAGTGTGAGCCAATGCCAAGTATTTTCATCCCCTGCAGCTTCTGACAATGGGAACCAGTCCACGGCTCGCCCATAGAAATGGAAGGGCTCTTCCTAGTTAGCTCACAACATAATGCATCCAAAAAGACGGCTTCAGGATAATAAATGATTTGTGGCTGCAGATCCCAGTGAATTTGAGGGAAACAAGCATTGCACTGAATGTGCATAGATCACCCTGCTGGAGCCCCACCGTGAGCTACGTGAGAGTCTGGCCTGGCAGAAAACAATTCCACAGAGATGAACACATCACTGCCCCTTTATAAACCAGTATGATTTGTTCAGGGAATTCCAAACAGAGCAGGGAACACTCAGCCAGTGTGTTCTGTTGTGTGGCTCTTGTCTTGATATGCAGAAAGGGTAAACATTTCAAAATAGGGAGTCAGGAGGGGTGCATTCTTTTTCCCATCATTTTTGGAACAAAACATTCAACTTGTTGACCCCAATTCAATATGTAAATAATGCTATTTGATGCATGACTTGAGGGAAAGCACACGTAGTCACACCATATAAGTGCCAAATTCTAAGGAATCTTTCTAAACATAGAAGTGTCCTAAGCAGGGTTCATAAGATGGATTATGTATTTAAGATCCTTTCTGAACTTCATATTTAAGTGGAGTTTTTAGGTAAAGTAGAAGTCAGCTGATTTCTATTCAAGTCCACTAAAAGCTGGTCCTCATATTCTGTCTCCTCTTATCTGGATCCAGAGATTAAATACCTACCAACTTGGAGTACAAATGAAATAGAAAGACAAGCTGGCATTGTAAATTGAGAAAGACGGTAAACCCAAACGGGGCACACTGAGCTTTGAGGGTACTGAGCACGCCTGAATGAGGTGCTCTGTAGGAGTGAGGAGGGCAGCTCGCAGACAGGGGATTGGTCTTCAGCTATTAGTTCATGGCAGGCAGGCAGGGGAGATGCAATTTGGTCAGATTTCTTTGGCTGACAAATGTCTTATTAGAATGAAGTTATTGACTTCATCCTTGAGATATTAGCTGATTTTGTTAGCGTTGAAAGACTCCCTCTTCCAGTTCCATCAGGGATTCTCTTTTCTTTCTAAAACATTCAGTTCCAGAGGATTTTTATGTTATTGAAAGTCTTGTTTTTATTTTTATTTTTTCCAGTGCAATGTTAGGTGAAGCCTTAAAAGTGGCAACATGTTTTCCTTACCACCTGTTTAGCATGGCCTCTCCCCACTTCCATGACCTTTTAAAGAGTCAGTAGTGCTGATTTTTGGATGAAGTTAGGAAGTTTTGTCCCAAAGGAAAGTCTTGCATGCTAAACATACTTTTTTTTTCTCTGCATTACTCCTTTCTTTTTCTTTTCCTTTTTCTTTCTTTTCCTTGCCATCTATATAAAGAAGGGTGATGGTGTTTTATGTTCGGTCCAGATCCTCGAAAAGGCATGTTTACCTAAACGTATTTGAGACCCATAAGATAGCATTAAGGAATTCCCTCCTGTGATCCTGTAAGTCTCATTGCTTTTCTGAGGAATAAGGCATTGCTGTCTCTTTCACTGGATTTTTATTTAATAGTGAGTATATCTCCTATTTGAAACGGGGGGTGTGGTATGTTTTTGCTAAGGAGCTGGGGCTTGCCTGCCCTGGGAAGGGCCCGCACTGTGCAGCTGCCAGGGGCGGCCGGCAGAGCTGCACGTGGCTAGGGGGTGCGGACTGCTGGCCTCCGGCAGGTGTCTTATCAAAAGCACTCCGTCTGGTGTTGCTTCCTGTTACTTACCCACCAATATCTACCCTGTGATATTTCTGTTTCTTAAACATAGTTGCAAGAGGAATAATGGAGATTTGCCCACTAAATGAATATGAGAAAAGCTTGAATTTTTAACTAAAAATTTTAGCCCAGGGCTTCTCAAACATTTTGGGTCTATAAACTCCTTCTGCAGTAACGTATCTAATGAATTCCCTCAGGAATTTTTAAAAAGTATTTCATCTGTTACATAATAAAGAAGTGATTTTCTTTAAATAATATTTTAATCCAGAATATCATTAAAATTTTATTCTAATTTTTATTCTTATATAGTCTTTGACAATGGCTAAAACTTAAAGACATTTTGTTTTGGCCATTAAACAAGTACACATTTTATTTTATTTTTTTCAATTACTTATGTGCATAAGAACTCTCAATAATTTGGTTAAAAATTGTCACTTAGTTTAATTTGGTATCAAACTATATTAAAATGTAGATGAACTTTAAGTACAAGTTATGGTACTAAGATGTATAAATCTTGCTATTTTTTTCCTGCTATTTAAAGTATCTATATTTTGTTCTTTGTGTAATTAGTCGGTTTACTTTTTAATCACTTCATATTATTTTAAATTGTAATATAAAATGAGACTTCAGTCTGCTACTTGCAGTTATTTCTTGTTGCACATTAAGATTTTGTCTGAATAAATTGAAAAAAAATTGAATACAAAAATACAGTGAGTATACTGTAATTTTTTCACATTCTCTTTGAAATATTAAATTAATGTTTATATGATATTTTAAAATTTTAATCAATTAAATGCAATTTAAAAACTAGTAAAGATTATATTAAAATGCATTGGTAAAATTATTATAATCTTATTCCTCTGGTTATTGTATTTCAATATCTGTGTTTCTTTTGCATTCTCTCTTAATGCAATAAAACTCCAGATTATGGGTTACACAATATATGAATCTTTCAGCTCTCTATTCCCAAATAACAAACTGTACAAAGCTTCGGTGGATTGAATCAACAACACCTTATTATTTCTCACGATCCTGCAATGTGGCTGAGCACAGCTAGGTGGTTCTTCTCCTTCCCCTGGTGTCTTCTGGGGCTGCAGATCCAAGATGGCACCTTTACTCATGTGACTGTGACCCAGGTGGGGAGAGAAAACAGCAGGGGGCAGGAGCGGAGCTGCACTTCTTACCTGTGGCTCAGGGGTCCTAAAGACCTAAGAGCAAACTACTAGAAATAGCAACACACAGCATCACTTCATTTGATGACGGAATTCTTGGAAAATGGCCCACCTATCTGCAACAATTTCCAAACCAATATTTTGAAACCCTTTTGTACTCAAACTTTGCAGTACAATCGATCTCGGATTTCCTACCTAAAACTAGAGTGATAGTCTTTTATTTTAACACTGACCACTTTAACGTACCTGTGATTTAAATCTAATCACTAGGTGCTGCAGACACAATGTTTCTGAACATGCTCAAAGTGCTGTGGTGGCATTGCTTTAGTGGCATAGAGTGCCCTTGGAGCATTTTCAAGAGGATAGATGTGTTGAAGAACATGTTTGTGTAAGTCAGCTTTTTAAATGACCAATTTTCATACTCTACATTTTATGCATTATGCTTTTCTTTGATTCATATCTATCCAGTTGTAAGCATGAGTGAAATATTTTCATGAAAAAATATTTCATGAATGGTCCTTTTCAGTTTTACAAAATAAATATATTTTAAAAGCATATCTAATGCCATATATATTTACATGCTGGCTGTTTATTCATATAAACTCTACATCCTATTACCACTTCATGGGTAAAGCCCGCAGAAAATCAGAAATAGTCTCCTAGTTTCTTGCTAGGAGTTTGAACAGGATTAAAGTATCTGTTGGGTTAGTTTTCTTTGCTTGAATTTGCATTTGTGAAAGTCAATACTTTCACCTGGCTATATTTTTTCCCACTCTGGAAAATAATCTGCAAATTTGTGTCTTCCTTAAATTCAAAAAGATTTCTTCTGGTTTATTGTTTTATGTTGGTTGTCTTCATTTGCCCTTTGAAACTCTTTAGAAATATATTTTATCAATATATTGAATCTTTGTGTATGCAACTCATATTCTGATTTCTCTTTGATGACTTTAATTGTTTTGTAATTTTATTCTATTTTCTATTTTTTAAATTTGTCATCCACAGCACTGATTCTCTTTCCCACAGTGTTGATCTTAATACTATTTTAAACTCTTCAGTTTTCATATTTTGTGTTTTTTTTCTAGATCTTCTAGCTTTTTCTAAAAAAAAAACTCAGTCTGTTGTTTTATCTTCTTACTTTTTCTAGAATCCATGTTTTGGGGGGTTGGAATACAAATGATTTTAATAAATACGTAATTTTCTATTCTATATTTTATAATACATTTTTAAAATATGTTCTTCTTTTTGTATAAATCTTTTTTTTTTTTCTCTTTGAATATCAGGAGTTCCAGACAGGCCAGATACTTCCTTGCTGCGTGGGCAGATGGTCCTTCAGCCTCCTCTGTCTTTGATGAGTTGTCTGTGCCTGTGTCATCAAAACTCAAGTTATAGGTGTAGAGCCTGCATCTCTTCTTAACAGAGTTTTATGATCTTAAAGGAAACTATACAGTGAACAGCCCTGCAAAGGTGAAGAGGAGCTTATTACCATGACACAGATTTAACACTGGGCAAGTCTCACCTCTCTAAATGTGCATGACCCTGGTAATGTAGTCTCAGTGTGTGTAATGCAAAAATTGACAGATGATTAGGAGCAAAAATAAATAAACCCCTAACCACAATAGGGGAGTTCAATGTGCCTTTCTTATGAGCAGACAAAACTATAAATATTTTAGAAGATGTAGAGAGTGTGAACCACACAGTTACGGAAGATACATCTGATTTAGGAGATGCAGAAGATTTGCATAAAATTATTAAGAAACTTCACAGGGCCAGGCGTGGTGGCTCACATCTGTAATTCCAGTGCTTTGTGGGGGCTGAGATGGGAGGATTACTAGAGCTCAGGAGTTCCATACCAGCAACATACTGAGACCCTGTCTCTACAAAACATACAAAATAATTAGCTAGGAGTGGTGGTGTGCACCTGTGGTCCTAGCTATGAGGAGGCTGAAGTGAGAGGATCACTTGAGCCAGGGAAGTCAAGGCTGCAGTGAGCCAAGATCGCACCACTGCACTCCAGCCTGGGCCACAGAGCGAGACCCTACCTCTTAAACAAAACAAAACAAAACAAAACCAACAAACAAAAAAACTTCACATACCTAATGTGTATGTGTCTACAACATTTAACAAATGGCAGAATATATGCTATATTCAAGTGCAAATGAAATATTTACAAGAATTAACACATGCAAGTGTGTTAATTCACTATTGCTACAAAAGTGCTGCAGGCCATGACGGAGATTAGAACAGCACAGGCAGGTTGGCCTGAAAGGGTCACACTATAGCTGGGCTGGCATGAGGTAGGGGTGGCGTGGGCATGAAGGTTCTGGGTGCAGCAGTCCTGAGCCCTAAAGGACCCCCATAAGTGATATGGTTTGGATTTGTGTCCCCACCCAAATCTCATATCCAATTTTAATTCCCAATGTTGGGTCCCAGTGAGGGACCTGGTGGGAGGTGATTGGATCTTGGGGTTGGATTTCCCCCTTGATGTTCTCTTAATAGTGAGTTCTCAAGAGATCTGGTTGTTTAAAACTGTGTAGCACTTTCCCCCTCACTCTCTGTCTGTCCTGCTCTGCCATGGTTAAGACGTGCTTCCCTCTCTTTCACCTTCCATCATGAATGTAAGTTTCTTGAGGTTTCCCAGCCATGCTTCCTGTACAGCCTGTGGAACTGTGAGCCAATTAAGCCTCTTTTCTTTATAAATTACCCAGCATCAGGTAGTTCTTTATAGCAGTGTGAGAATGGACTAATACAGTAAGGAAACCTCACGTGCAAGGGTTGGGGAACTCACAGCCTCACAGCTCCCATATGAAGAGGCCACCTCATACTGGATTTACAAGAGGGCAGTAAGAACTTTCACTCCCCTCCTAAAGGCAGGGGCCCTCGCTGGAAACATTATAAGCAGAAAATGTAGTAAGTAGATGGAATGACTTGTGTGTGTGAGAGAGAGAGAAAAAAAAGATCTAATTGAAAATCCAATACATAAATATCTACAGATAACAACATTTATGATTCCAAGTTATAATATCATAATAATTAGCTTCCCTGCATGCAGAATACAAGTGACAATTATGTTTAATTTGGTATGGCTTGATGATAATTAATATCCACAAAATTTATTACGTTCGGAAAAAAGAATTGTGAGAGAGGTCAGAAGTCACTGTGCAACAATTACTTCAGACACTTAACATCTATCTGTCTATCAATCAGTCTGTCTATCTACCTATCTATCTATCTACCTATGTATCTGTATCTATTTACTTGTCTATCTGCCTAGCTACCCTATTCATCAATCTATCTCAATAGAGGTAGATACATGGATATACTGATACACACACATTTCTCCCACCATCCATTTAAGAGATTGAGAATTTTAAAAACCGTGTTTTATAAGTGAATCAGTTTATCAACATATTATACAAAGGGTTAAGCACAGTTTTGGCCTTCCTCTCAGCACTCTCCCCAGCTGGCTTCTGATGGAACCCCTTCTCAATGATGATTCTTGCCTATTCTTCCTGTCAGGACTTCCCATTCCTGCCATTTTTAGATTGAGATTATTGTTTGGTGTCTCTGTGAGCCTGTACAGAAGCTCAGAGAGTATGCCTGTGTAAGCTTACACTAATATTAGCAAGTCGTGATTTTCTTCTGGCCAAGAAAAGAATCTCATTCCTGTGAATATGGGAGAAGAGTTAAATCAATTGAGATATTAAGGAAGCTCGGCCATGGGTGAGACTGATGTTAAAATGCGCTGCTCCTGACAATTTGCAGGTTCCCTATGTTTCCAGCTGCTTTCAGAAACATTGCATCAGTGAAGCCTTGATGATTCTTGGAGAAATGCATCATTTTACTTGTTTTATTTATGATCATATTTTACTGGTGACAGCATTAAAGAAAAACTGGCAAAAATAAGCATAAGTGTAATGCTCAAGGTAGAAGGCCGTGCTTCTTCCACTAAGCCACAGGAGCAAATTGAAGACCAAGCGTGAGGTCATTTGGTCTTAATTGTATTAAATGATACTGACAATCTAGCATTGTGTCTGCAATGCCTTTTACCTGTATAATTTGCCTGATCAGATAAGACACATGGCTAGTGATACCATTTGGCTCTATGTCCCCACCCAAATCTCATGTCGAATTATAATCCCCAGTGTTGGAGGTGGGGCCTGGTGGGAGATTATTGGATCATGGGGTAGATTTTCCCCTTGCTGTTCTCGTGATAGTGAGTGAGATCTGGTTGTTTAAATGAGCGTATCACCTTCCACCCGCTCTCTCTTGCTTCTGCTCCAGCCAGCCTGCTTCCCCTTCACCTTCCGCCGTGACTGGAAGCTTCCTGAGGTCTCCCCAGAAGCAGAGGGCACAGTGCCTCCTGTCAGCCTGCAGAACTGTGAGCCAATTAAACCTGTTTTCTTTACAAACTATCTAGTCTCAGGTATTTCTTTATAACAGTGTGAGAATGGACTAATAATATAGCTGGCTACTGAAATGTGTTAAATGGAATAATGGAAAGTAAGTAATAACAACAATAGCAATATTTATTGACCATGTGCTCTGTGTTAGGCACTGGGCTAAATATCTTATATAAGGTATACAGGAGCTCAGTCAATCCTCATTGTCTCATGGCAAAGGGCCCATTAGATGCCTCTTGTGTACCAGTAGACACACTTTCTACTGCCATATGAAAAGCAAGTGAAGTTTAGTGAGTCAGTAAGAGAAGACAGGAAGACCCTCTCATGCCTGGACTGGCCCTGGAGGCAGCCTGCTGACGGCTGTTCAGTTTAGCTCATTGCCGTGTCAAGGTCAAGCTACATCAACGGCAATTCTCAAGTGATTCTGAAATCATCTTTGCTAGTGTCCATACAAATAAATGCCATTGACTTTTCCTCATTAAAATTTATGAGTTATAGAGTGTACAGTTTACAACAGTATTCCTCAAAGAGATGTCCAAGGAGTACCTGTGTCAGATTACTTGGGGATCCTGTTAAAAATTCAAAATTTGGAGTCTTATCTACCTTATCAGATCCTCAGGCGTGGGAACTGATATCTTAACAGACATCTGGGGTCTCTCTTATGAACACTACTTTTTGATGACCACTGCATGAAATAAAACCTAGGAAATGATAAGGAAAATATGGTTTGAAATAGAAAGTAATGACTTGATATGCAATTATAACCCTTTTTTATGGACTATGCCATTTCCCAATTGAGATAATTAAATAAACTTAATGTTACTTGTGCTACTAGATGTAAACATGTAAGTCAACTCATCATCTGTAAAGGTGAACCAAAATTATGGAAATCCAATATGACTGGAATAAAACATTTTTATATTATAAAACTTCCAAAACATTAGTACTGTACTTGTAAGGGTCAGATTTGAAAGGAGAATTTAGTGTGTTATCAGAATTATATGTGTGACGATGACATAATATACTTTGCAGGGAGGCTTTGCCGCACTCTTGTTTATCCGGTCTAGTTAGCCTCCTAGTTAGCACACAGACGCACATCCCACCTCCCATAACAATGGCTGGCACCTTCTCTCCCCAGTCAGGCTGGACTGATCCCACTTTTCCTCTTTCTGGAATGCTGTCACCAAGCCCTGTTTTTCTGAGCCCTTGGAAGGGGCAATCCTTACCTGGACCGAGGATAGTTGGTAATCTTGTTTATTTCCTAAGCACCTAAATTTATATCTAGTGGTGAGACGAATGTTATACAGCAAGCTTGTCCAACCCGCGACCTGTGGGTCTCATGCAGCCCAAGATGGCTTTGAATGTGACCTAACACAAATTTGGAAAGTTTCTTTAAACATTTTGAGATTTGTTTTTTGCAATTTTTTTGGCTTATCAGCTATTATTAGTATTACTATATTTTATGTGTGGCCCAAGACAATTCTTCTTCCAATGTGGCCCAGGGAAGCCAAAAGATTGGACACCCTTGCTATCCAGAGTATTATTTATAGCTTGTTGTTTAGAAATGTTTAACTTATTTGACTGTTTTATTAGCTCCTGATAATAAGTGTGCATGGCCCTGGCTGATGTAATCAATCAAACCACTTCTGACCCTAAAAAGGCAATAGCTTTATTTTTATCAACAGTAAACTTAGCGTGAAATCTTAACCTGACCCCACCAGGGCCAGCATCTCCTGATCATGATCCCAGAGGAATTTTCAGGACATTGATCGGCATGTATATGTGGGCCAGTGTGGTGAATGACAGTGAAAAAATCTATTGCAAGGGTCCCATGGTCATGCAACTGCTGTAATTGGGATAAATCTATATAATTAGATAGCACATTAAATAAAACACAACCATGTGTCATGTAACAACTGGGTCTTTGTGTGAACATCAAAGTAGATTTACACAAACCTGGATGGTAGAGCCTACTCCACACCTAGGCTAGATGGCATAGCCTATTGCTCCTGGGCTACAAACCTGCACAGCAGGTTACTGTTCTAAATACTGTAGACAACCGTGAGGAAATGGTAAGTCTCTGTGCAATAGGAATTTTTCAGCTCCATTTTAATCTGATGGGATCACCATCCTACAGGCGTGACTCCATAAGATAAAAATGGGGCTGAAAAATGTTGGTTGTCTCTTGTCAACCAAAGTGTCATTATGCAACACATGATTGTCGTGTAGCCACTCATGTTTTGGCCACTTAATTCCAAATAAGCATATTAATTTTATTTACTCTTCACTGGGTAATCCAGTTTTTAACCCAGTGAACAAGCTTTTTTTTAAAAAAAATTGTGTTATAGCTATAAAACTACCTTTTTTGTGTTTTTCAATTTTTCAAAAATTAACTTCATATATATATATATATATATGAAGGAAGAGTAGTCTTGGCGGTTGGGGGATATGGGGAGCATAACTGAAATGCGGAGGGACTTTCATTTGCTGGTGTTTCTGATAAGGCTATTCCGAGCAGGGGCCAACGTCTGAGCGCCCATGAGCAGAGCAGATTGGGGCCCTGAGGGCTCAGATAACCCTGGGGACACGCTGCCCAGACTGGGTTGGGGAAGGATTTGCCCATGGACAGGAGCATTGCAGAACATAAACTAGTTTCAAAATCCTACGGAGCTGCTTTTGCAGGATTTGGTGAGGAAGAAGGGCAGGTTGTGGAAGGTGAAAGAGGAAACCCTTCCACCCGGGCTCCAGCATTCATAAATCCAGTTAGTGTTTTCACTGGAGATGGAGACCCACACAAATCATGACCAAAAGTAAAAAAAGAAAAAAAAAACCACCAGCACTTCAACCCTGGAGGTCGTGAAATTGATTTGCTATAAATCTATGTCATTTGGCAGCTGTAAAAGTCAAGAAGAGGAAATGCCTCCAGAGTAGAAATAAGTCACCTTTGACCTCTCTTCAAATAATTTAATACTAAATTTTTATACCATTTTCAAAATTATAGTAAGTAAAATTAGGCTCTGCAGCATAATTATGAAGATGCCATTTAGTGTTTATGAACAATAGCATAATTATTTACTTAACAGTCTTCAAAGAATTTTAGGAGCAGTTACTCCAGTTTTAAAATATCATAATTTATGTTGATTCAAGTTAGAGCCACTTAAGCCATTTACCTGTGACTTAGATTTATTTTATCAACAAATTCCATTCTGACTTTTTCTTTAGATGTTAGCAGTGTGAGTCATTTCCACATACCTGCAAATTCTTGCTTTATTGCCATTTTTTTATTGATGTAAAACATGCGGTTGATGAACTTGTTGGAGACGAGACATCTGGATTCTAGATCTCAGTCTGAAGCACATCCAAACCTTTTTAAGTTACATCAGATAAAATTTTACCTGTACAATTTCAAATCTCACCATCCTTGAAGGGATTGAACATAATGTTATGTTTCTTTAAGGTGGATTATTCTTATGAAATATTAAAACCAAACATGACCACTATAAAAAGACTTTTACAGCCATGGGCATTTTCCCTCGTAATAAAATTTTACTTAGTTTTATTATTCCTTCTGTAGGGCATATCTGGGATCTCACAGAAATGACTGAACTGGAAACGTCAGTAATATGTAATAGCTAGGAAGGGACTGAGCTGTACAGGCTAATAAAGAAAAACTAAAAGCTGCATGAAATTTGACTTAAGCACAAATTATCTGTGGAAAAAAATCTGCATAAATATAGGTACAATTCCATTGTGCTTTCAAAAAGACCACCATGTGCTAGATGGTTAATATGTCAAAATTCATTAAAATGTTCCTATCGTAAAGGTAAGTACAGTAATTTTTCTCTCCCACCTCTGGATTTATGCAAATTTGTGGCTTGAGATAGTTATCAGCCATTTCTGCTGAGATCCCATCAGAATGGGAGCATTCTTTAAAAAGATGTTTTCATGGTCAAAGTTTGTATTCTGGACAATGAGAATTCTAGTACTATATGATGGTTAAAACTAATTGACAGAGATCTAAACTAGTGAACTGGCTGGGTGAACCAATAAATCCTTCACACAGTCAACAGAACTTCAATATTCATGAGGCTTCTGCAAGAATTTCATAGCCCCATAAAAGTCTCCGCAAAGCACTTTGAATTTTAAGTGGGATGAATTATTAAATAGCAAAACTTCCAACCTAATTTAACTTTCACCTGGACTTAGTCAAGGGTGAGGAAACCTCCGTGGAGGGCGTGGGAGAGTTCAATCATGTGGTAAAACACTTATTCCTCTAGAAACAGTCTTGGATGGAAAGGCAGAGTAGTCTTAGCGGTTGGGGGATAGAGGGAGCATAACTGAAATGTGGGGACTTTCATTTGCTGGTGTTTGTGATAAGGTGATTCTGAGCAGAGGCCAATGTCTGAGTGCCCATGGGCAGAGCAGGCTGGGGCCCTGAGGGCTCAGATAATCCTGAGGACAGGCTGCCCAGACTGGGGAAGGAGTTGCACATGGACAGAAGCATTGCAGAATATGAAACTAGTTTCAAAATCCTTATGGAGCTGCTTTTGCAGGATTTGGTGAGGAAGAAGGACAGGTTATGGAAGCTGAAAGAGGAAGCCCTTCAAGAGGACTTCTCAGAAGTATGTCCGGGTCTGTCAGTAAAACAACAGCTGGGTTGGCAGCGGTCATAGATAATACAAATGGAAGCGGCTGTGTCACTGAATGAAATGAAGGGTTCATCAGGTCTGGATGGAATGGCAGCTTGTTCTTCAGTGGTTAAAGTACTACCTCCCGTTTCAGATGGGAACTCCGTTTGCTAGAGCTGTGCCATTATTTCTGGGCTAAAGCAAGTCATAGTCTACCTGAAATTGTTCATACTACGAAACTCCCACACTTCTCTAACAACTTGGTAGATATTTTTCCCTCTGTAGATATATTATTTGTGGTGAGCATATCAGAGAAATATATGCAGGAATGACATAAGGAGGTGGCTTGCCCAGTGGAAGGGGCTGAATGTTGTCCCCACAAAGATATGTCCACATGCTGATCCCTGGTACTTGTAAAGTGGCCTTTTTTTTTTCTTTTTTGGAAAAAAGCATTCGCAGATGGAATAAATTTAAGGATCCAGAGACGGAGAGGTCACCCTGGATTATCCAGGTGGGTCCTAAATCCATCACACGCATCTTTATAAGAGACAGGAGAGAAGACAGAGGAGAATGCCTTGTGATGACGGCAGTAGGGATTGGAATGAGGCAGCCACAGCCAAAGGGCACCTGGAGTTCCCAGAAGCTGGAAAAGTCAAAGAAAAGTCCTCTCTGGAGCCTCTGCTGGGGGAGGGGTGGCGGGGGGTGCTGCAGACACCTTGATTTTGGGCTTCTGGCCTTCAGAACTGTGAGAGAGTAAGTTTCTGCCGTTTTAAGCCACAGCAGCCACAGAAAATTAATACTTCCAGCATCACAGAGCTCAACCGAGGCCCCCTGGTTGTGGATGAGGAGGCAGCCAGGGAGGAATAAAAGCATCTATGAGGCTGGTGCCCAGCTCAGGGCTGTTCCTGAGTGCATTTCCTGATACTCAGCGTTGAAGGTGATGCAAAGCAGCCATCTGATTGGCCACAAGTGTTCTAAGTTCTTTTTTTAAGTGTTGAACAAATGCTTGATCAAATAATTGATCTTCAATATATTGATGTGCTTCATAATTGGTATGAGTCATAACTCATATTTGAACCATTAGAAAACCTTTATTTTTAATTTAGGTTAACTAAATTATCCAACTCCTAGAATCCAAAAATGAATGTTTAAAAATAATAAGTGGAGCTTTTTTCTTTGCTATGTCATTTCTGGTTGAAAGATTCAGAACATAGAAAGCTGAAAGGAAACCAAAAGTTCAGCCCTAACACAAAATGAGGCAGTTGGTTATTGGGAAAAGAATGACCACAATCTTAACTGAGTGCCTGACACGGAAGGGACTTGTGTTGAATGAATGGGTGGGTGAAAGGCAAGCTTATTGGTGGGGTTTGAATACTGCGTTTACTTCTGGGTAAATAAGCAGCAGTTCTCTCAGGTGTATATTTTCATGATGTGATAAATGATAGGTTTTTTTACATTTTCAATTTACATCATTTAAATTAATGTCTTTGTTATGAGAGGAGCCACACAACTTTCCTGGAAACTGGCCCATCTACCATTTTCCGTCATGGGTTGGTTTTCACACCTGCAGTTCTCCTGCTGTCTTCTGTCTTGCCTCTCCTCTCCTGCTCACCTACAGAAAGACTGAAAAGAAGTTTTTTGCCAGCTTGTTTTTCTATTTATACAGTTGTTATTATTTTATTTTCTATTTGAAAAATGTTATTGTATTTATGGATTGTTTTGACTCTTTGTAATAGTTATTACCAATTAAAAATCATGACTTCACAGAACTTACACGCTGGCAGATGATGCTGAACCAACTTATTTCTACATTTATTATACTGCTTACTGACTATTCACAGGTCAGCTGAGCCAGGCTCTTCTACACAGAAATATGTACACCCACTCAGCATCAACATGCACCTCTTAGTAGTATAGCCTGTTTTGGCTGAAAGACAGTCCAGGGGCAAACTGTATTCATGGAGCCTGTCTGCCCATCTGCCTGGGCAATGCCAAGGGGGTATGGCCAGGGGGTGGGAACTGCCCATGTCAGAGTCTGGAGTGGAAGGAAGCAAGTTGAAATTTCTTTGCACAAACCACAGGGAGTTGACAGAAGCCAACCCAGCAGGCCCATCATGCTTTGTGGTCTCCTGAGTGCCAAGAGAAGATTCTTTCTCTGTCACCCCAATTGTTCCCTTTTAACATGGCAGTCTAAACCAGGCACAATTAGGCTTTTTCTTGACATCATTTATCCCAAGGCTTGACAGTTGGAAATCAAAATGGCTCTGCTGCATTCTTTAGGATCTGAGCCAGACAAGATGTTTAGAAAAGTAAAAGTAGAACAGAGAAAACTATACAAACAAACCAAAAAACTTCCACAGTGGGGTAAAAATTTATGTCATGTTTGATCAAAAAATTAAATGTCATTTTTTGGTCATTGATTTACTGATTTGCTATAATTTTCAGTATACTGAAAGAAAAATATCCTTAGAAGAATGGAAGAATCTTTGGCACGTACAACCTAAAACAATTAAATGCAAAGAAGAGACCGCCAAAAGTAAAGGTCTTGAGAAAAATGGTGACTTGGCTTTCTTAGTGCTTTTAGAGACTCTCAGAACACACCAGGCTCAACAGAGTCCTTGGGTCACATGAATGTAACTGAACACTGATTTTTAACAGCTGCGGTTCCTTTCCAACATTGTGTGGGAGATGCCTTTGTAAATCCTGGGCCTGCTAGAGCTACTGATTCCTGCTTAAGAAATTCTGGGCTGGGTGCAATGGCTCACGCCTATAATCCTGGAACCTTGAGGCCAAGGGGGGCAGATCACTTGAGCCCAAGAGTTTAAGACTAGCCTGGGCAACATGGTGAAAACCCATCTCTACAACAAATACAGCAACAACAAAAATTAGCCAGGTGTGGGGTGTGGTGGCACATGCCTGTAGTCCCAGTTACCCAGAAGGCTGCAGTGGGAGGATCACTTGAACCTTGGAGGTGGAAGTTGCAGTAAGCCAAGATTGCGCCACTGTACTTCAGCCTATGCAACAGTGTGAGACCCTGTATTAAATAATAATAATAATAATAATAAAAGAAAGAAAGGACAAAAAGAAAGAAAGAAATTTTTACAATAATAGATACCTGCCATATAATGTTGGATGGTTTTACATAAGTTCTTTTTGGATCTACTTTATGGTTTTCAAAATATTTGTTAAAATAACACCTTTCAATGGACTTTTAACATTTCGTTTTTTGCAAGAAGACTCTAGGACACCCATAATCTTACATATCATCTTGTTTTCTACATTGACCATGCATCTTCCCAGACCATCATGGACTTTATGGGCATTCCATACGAGGCCTGGGACCTTTGCCCCAACCCGCCGTGTAACATCTGGCCTGCAACAGTGGGTGTGGGTGAGAAGGGGCAGCTCTGCTTAGAGAAGAGGCTGCTCTCAGGCACTGATGTCCCTTCACCATGCCCTGAAGAAGAGGGAGGTCCTGCTCTCATGGAGGGCTGGGGCGGGGGGCGGGCAGACTCACGGTTTCATTTTACACCTGTGTATTGAGAATCTAAGATGTGCCAATAGTGCTCTGTAATGTGCTTGGATACAACAGCAGATACTAAAGGCAAGGATGCCCGCCCACACAGTGATCATTTATATATGAAAGAAACTCAGACTGTGATAAATACCCATCTCAGGGATGTATGCAGTATATCAGGCTTAAGGGAAAGAAATGTAAACACAAGCGCTTGTGTCTTTTTGGTCCATTTCTCAAGTGCGACTGAAGATTGTTTCTCTACCCCCCAGCCCAACTCACTTTCCATTGTGTTAGGAAAACTCAGGAAGCCCTCTACACCATGAGGAAAAGGACATCATATTTTACATAATATGTGACACTGAGAGTCCACTTGGTTTTGAACCATGAATTCAAAATACAGCTTCACTTTTTAAAATTAAAACAATGAGATCGTGTTTGATCTGCTCCATCACAGAATGTCCTGAGAAGATGGCAGTGGGTGCCAGTCAGGAATGCCTCCTTCCTTCTGGGGAACTGGGGGTCAGTGAGTTCGTTTCTCTGGATGTTGGTTTCCTACACTGTAACATACATATATTCAACAAGAGACAAATGCAATAGGAAGAAGTGTGTTTTCTAGTGATTTGTATCATTTGGAATACACATCTCTCAATGAATTACTTCAGTTGTTAATTCAATTACAAGGAGTGGGTTTGGTTCTATCTAAGTAGTTTTAACCTCAGATTAACTTTTCGTTGTGTATTGTTATAGTGTCAATTTCCTTATAAATTTATTTTTGAAATTTTCTTACTGCCAAGATGCAATTTTAGATTTTTTAAAAATACAGATAAACACTAGCAACTTTGAAGATGGACACAATTGTACTGAGAGTGAAATGTCCTCTCTGTTATGGTTTCCTGTTGGCATTTGCTCTCTGCTCAATCCTAACTCCAATCTATGTCTCTGGTTTTGTTCTCTGTATGCCGGACTTCCACATACCTGTGACACATTAGCCAGTGTTCTGTGCCCAGGCATGATTAAGCCAAGGGTATATGGTTTGTAGGGGGATTGGTGAGTGTATTCACAGAAGCTTCTGCTCGTTACCATTTGGCCAGCACTGATGGGTGGGCATGGGTATCCCGACAGCAAGCACAGTGGGTGTTTCCCACGGGATCCAGCTACCCAAACAGCCCCTGGGTGCCAGACAACAGCCCAGACTCTCGGGGACAGCCCAGGGCAATATGTTGCTTCCTCAGGGCTGCTGTTGCGAGGTCCTGGAGAGAAGTCTGGCCCTCCTCTGGCTGGCCCAGAATGGACCCAGCTTTCCAAAAGTGCATGGCTGGGGGAAAATGCTGCCCCATCAGCATGCTGCAGTCTTTTTCCCAGAGTGGCAGGGCCCCTGTCAGAGCTCGTTGGCTCAAGCTCCATCTTCCAGTCCACTGCAGGGAGGCACAGGTGGGGGAGTCCCTTCTTCCCACTCTCCGTCTGTCTTAGAGCAAGGTCCTGGCTCCACCTATCCATGCCCTGTTGCTCCATCAATTCATGCCCCGTGAAGTTACAGGTGGCTAGTTTCTTAACCATGTCTGTTTTCATGCGATGAGTTTATTCAATTCCCATATGTCAGGGACAAATGAAAATGAAATCTAGTCACAGGAGGGGCAGGTCCATACGTATTCCTTCATGGGCAAATGTGTCGCTGCCATAATTTTACTTAAATGACAATAATTAAACATTATTTTGTTTAAGTCTCACATCCTGCCTTAATCAGAGAAGAAAAAAATTTGTGATCCAAACTGTTACCTGGTCTGGCCTGTCCCTGGCATGAAATAAGATGCACCAAAGTGAAGATCAATTTCATTACTGGCTTAGAATCAAAGCCCAATATTGAAGAAGACAAACTCTAAATCAGCTTGTTTCTTTGGGGTGTAAAAAGAGGTCATTTCACACATGTGTTAACTGTGAATTAATGCTATACATGCTGACAGAATGCAATTGCATCTTCAATAATGCTTATTAATGAGATAGTTAAATGAGAGAACATGTCATAATCGCCTTTTGTTTTTCCTTTGACATATTATTTTTCCCCACTTAGAAAAAAGGGCACCAGGCTGGTATGCCTAAGAGGCTTATTTGTGCTAACAGACTGTGAGAATTCTGGCAGGTGCTCCAAGAGCTTGGTCTCCACCTTACCCATGCAGTTTTGCAGCTCCATCCCCTTTCCATGGCTGGCGAGGCTGTTTTTCAGTAAAAGCCAGGCCCACGCTCAGCCCTGTGTCTGGGTGCTCTGCTCACAGCCTGGGGGCAGGCAACTTTCCAGCCATGAGAAAGCAGGTTTCGCAGTCAGTGTTTTCTCAGAGAAAATGCATTACTGTGTTTAGTGTGAGGAAGAAAGTGTTTATGAAAGGAGAAGGCTGGGGCCCCCGTCTGAGTGTGTGTCGCTGAGCGAGTCCTGGCAGAGTCATCAGATCTCAGCTTTTGAGTGGTAACAAAGACTTCAGATTTAAAGCAGGTGAAACTGTGTGCCTCCAGGACTGGTAATGGTTGGCTCCACATTTGTTTTCTTCCCTTTTATCAATGGATGTGAGTAGATTTTTTAAAATAATGTTTTCCACGTTGAATTTCGGTCAGCGAGCCTCAAAGCCCTTGTGCACAGGGTAAGAACGGGGGTCACTCCTTTGAGACCCAATGCATAAGAAAGAAAATTAGTAAAAAGGAAAGCCAGGCTTTATTTGTAGAGATTATAATAAGGACAGCATCTTTCTTTTTAAAAGACAGCCAGAAGAGTGAAAAAGACTTGCAAAGGAAAGAAAACACGAGATCCCCCAGTGGACGGGAACTGATGGAAACTTTAGAAAGAGAATGGTAGCCTTGTTTTGTGCTTGCAGTAGAGGAGCTGGAAGGGAACCTTGGGTTCACTGTGCACGGCATGAAGGCATACAGCAGGCGCACTGCCAGGCCTCAGAGTTTTTCCACTAAAACTTGCAAAGTTTATTCTTGCATGCATTAGGGACGTTTTAACTCAGCATCAAAACTCGGTAAGAAATAGAGCTGCCTGGGAAAATTAGGTGGGCAAAGCTGCTTTATTTCGATTTCAGTAGTTCTCCTGCAGTTTTTGCACCCCCTTTCCACTCCAGAAGCACAGGTTGCATTGGAAGTCCAGAATAGAATTTCTGTATTTCACAGGAAAAGATCCCTCATCCCAGTATTTTAGACACTGGGTGTTTCTGAAAGGCCATAACCAGCAAGGACAGTGGACACGGGGCTGAGGACGGGCCTGCCAAGCTACTGCTTCTGTAGCTCCCTGTGTTTACAAACAGCCTTGCCAGCCACAGAAATGACAGTGAGCAGGGACACGGTGAGATGGAGCTTCAAAACTCCATTAAGGTGGAGCTAGGATCTTGGAGCAACTGCAGAATACAGGTCATACATGGCTTGTTTGCAGGTCACTGGCCATTGAGAAAAAGAGGATTTGGGGACCACTGAGAAAAAGAGGATTTGGAGACACCTGAGAATAACTGAGGGGCTTGTAGGCATTGAAGATCCAATGCTACTAGAAGATGGGACTCAGCACTTTATGGTCTTTGGTAGTGAAAGATCAGGTTAAAGAATCACTCTGGTCCTTGGAGTGAGGTGATGACTGAAGGCAAGAACTGAAGAGACCAAACGACCATGTTACAGACCAGTATGGCAGGCACAAGCGCATGTGGAATGGACTGGCTATTTAGAACTGTGCTGGGCACTTAAAAAAGGTCAGTCGTAAGGTTAGAGTGTTAAATCTGTGCCTTGAAGCAGCTTCAGAGAATTATGGGCTTTCCACGTTTGTGCTAATAGATCCCCTTGTTTGCACGTTGCATCAGGGATGAGTCATCTAAGAACAAGCTCAAAGTTTGAACCTGTGGTTTGACAAATGGCAAGGCTAGTTGAATTCACAACCTCTCCAGGGATTTTGTGTGAGAGTGGGGGCTTTACCAAGAAGGAAGTGTGCACTGGCATCAGAATGGGGACATACGAGAAGACTTAGATGACAGAGACTATGCAGAATCCTAAGCCTCTCAGCTTAATTATGAACAGCAGAACCCACTTCAGCTACGTTGGTCAAAAAACAGCATTTATTGAAGATTATTGGGCAACTTGAAGACCCCTAGAAAGTCCATACTATCCACTGCTGCTGGCTTTCAACATAACTCTCACGACTGATGCTGGTCATTGGACCTCAGAACCTCCACCACTGCCACTCCCTTAACGGCGACTTGCCTCCTCTGCCTCCTCCACAAAAGGTGGGTCCCACCTGGGGCCTGCTCTCTCAAAGGACTATCTTCTACACCACAGCCTCCACAAGACAGCTAACTGCAGAATATTTATCATAGGGCTGTGCTTCAGTGCAAGAGAGCTAAGGAAAGCAAGTTCCTATCTCCTCTCTGGGGAGGTGGACAATGATGTAAGAAAATCCCAAAATAGAAGATGGTTGCTCAAAAGATACTGGGCAGTCATGAAGCAAGATGATTATATATAAGCATAGTTCTTGAATCATTGTGCTTAGTTGTACCTACTCCACCTACATTTAAGGTTGGATTTGACATTAGATGACATAGTTTTCCTCTTCCATAATAAGTAATAGTAATTTTCCTGATGAAAAATTATCCAAAGGCATGGCCTAGAGAGACCCTTTGCTGAAGAAGGGGTATTACTAAGAGATGAACATGGAAGACATGAGACCTGACTGCCAGACACCTCGTGTTGGGCCAAGGGGTGTTCCAGGTAGATGCAGGGTTGGTCACTTGTGCTTCATTAGCTTTCGTTTGAATATCACAACTGCCTTGTGAATCTGGCAAAGCCAGATGCTGCTCTTCTTGCTTACAAATGGTGAGGTGGAGTCCTGCTAGAGTGGCTCACATAGGGCCCCAAGGGGAGGGCTGGACAGAATCTGAGTCCCTTGTCTCACCTCCCTAGGTCTTGCTCCATGACATCTGATGTCTCCAGCACACTTCACACCTTTCTGAGCATCAAACTTACTGTCATCCTCAACAAATACCTCTTGCTTTATACATGCAGGGAGCCCTTTTAGGTGCACAGCATGGCACACCAATTGTAGGTCAAGGTCATAACAAAGAGAAGTTTTGTTCCAGACTTATGGTCATATTCTTTTAGCTCTTTACACTTACAGAACTCTTCCCTTTATAAACAGTTCCACATACTTTTCTTTCCTGCAGGGCCATGCTGAGCCTTTATAATCCATCTCATTAGAATTTAGGCATGTGTTTCTGAATCTTCCTCATGAGTCTACAAGCTGATATGCTACTTGTCCCTCTTACACTTGTCCCCACATCTGTTCTTCTGGAGAGCAGCATCCTTGTCCACAGGTCCCAACCTGGGCTCTGAGATATTTCTAGCCAGTTGTCTTGTCCTGCAATGTTCCTGGTCTTGTTTAGTTTGGAGTCAAGATTGTCTTCCCAGGAGGTCCATTATCTTCTAATCAGGTCAAGGGTGGCCACACTTCCACAATTCCAGCAACTCCACTCTTGTCTGTCTCCTGATTGAGGCAGATGATACCTTCACCAAATGACTAAACCTGGTGACATCCAGAGGATAGAGTATTGCTAGGGTTTAAGGAAGGCCTTCAAGGTCACAATGTCATCCATTGTATTTCGGCTGGGAACTTTAGAGTCCTTGCCAAATTTACATTTGGACAACTGAGAAAAGTTTCAAGTTATTTAGCAGTAATGAGGATGCTCTGGGGAGCTTTACATATGAACCTGGAATGACATTTAGTTAAATAAATGTCAACATGCTGGGCTAGCTCTTGCTCTGTAGACAAATACAGGGCAGAAGAGTGTGTCAAGGTGGAAATAATCCAGAAGGACAGATAGCTCTTGGCCTGTTGCTGGATTTTGGTGGAAACTGAATGTTTGACTATGGGTCATCAAGTCACCATGCGACCTGAACTGCCTATCATGAACTGGGTGCTTTCTGACCCATCTAGCCATAAAGCGGGTCGTGCACAGCAGCATTCTATTATCAAATGGAAGTGGTACATATGAGATTGGGCTCAAGCAGCTCCTGAAGGCACAAGTAAGTTACATGAGGAAGTGGCTCAAATGCCCCTGGTCTCCACTCCTGGCACCCTGCCTTCTCTCCCCCAGCCTGCACCGATGGTCTTATGGGGAGTTCCCTATGATCAATTGACAGAGGACGAGAAGACTGAGGCCTGGTTCACAAATGGTTCTGCAGGATATGCAGGCACCACCTGAAAGTGGACAGCTGCAGCACTACGGTCCCTTTCCAGGACATAACTGAAGGATAGTGATGAAGCCAAATCTTCCCAGTGGGCAGAACTTCCAGCAGTGCAACAGGTTGTGCCCTTTGCATGGAAGGAGAAATGGCCAGATGTACAATTATACACTGATTCATGGGCTGTAGCCAATGGTTTGGCTGGATGGTCAGGGACTTGGAAGAAGTATGATTAGAAAATTGGTGACAAAGAAATTTGACGAAGAGGTATGTGGATGGACCTATCTGAGTGGACAAAAACTGTGAAGATATTTGTATCCCATGTGAGTGCTCACTAATGGGTGACTTCAGCAGTAATAGAAGACATATAAATATTATAATATAAATATTAACAAAACTGTATTTTCAGAGTATTTTGGAAGAACTATGATTAAGAATTGTTAGACACTTTGTTTTCTTAATCAAAAATATCCAATTCCTGGTCTTTTGTTGGAATATCTCTTCCCTCTCTCTCTTTCTCTCCGTCTTTCTCTCTCCTCTTTCTTCATTCCTTCCACTGTGTTGATATCCATGCTGATACAGAAAGTGTAACACAATTAGCATGAAATAGTGAATACGGCCGAATCTCTTGCCTCCATGAAGCATGTTCTCTAATTGGAGAGAAAAATAATGTGAACTACAGCTTGAGTCAGATGAACGGACAGATCGTTAATAAATGACTTAGTGCAATAGAATCATATTAACACATGGGAGAATCAGAGGACAAGGGTGTCCGTGGAAGCAGAGGTTGTCTGCATTTGTAGCAATTCATGCAGGAATAAGACGTACTGAGCACACATTGCAGAGTCAATGCTTTGACTGGGCACTTTCTGCTTTGCAGGGTTTCTGGTCTGAGAACCTACAGAACAGAGCTCATCTTAGAGGAGCACCGATTCTTGTCAGTCACTACTGATATGTTTACCTCCTGACAATCCCATTCTCTGTGAAATTCTTTGTAAGATATGGTTATAACTACAGGACATTATTTTTCTGGAACATCTTATGAACTGTCCAGGCAGAAGCATGGAAGGAAATAAAGGCAGGCAGGTTTTGAGAAACTGCATCTGTGGGTTTAGTTGCAGACAGTCTCTGGAGATGCAGTGGCCCATGGCCACGTAGCTGAGCCAGTGACTGCAGACTCAACTTCAGGTTGTTGTTGCAGCCTCGTGGGATCCACGCTGTGTCCTGATATCACCTTGGCCAGCCTTAACTGGGGCTTTCTGTCTCCACCAGGTAGTCAAAGGCATGCATATATCCCGCAAACGGCCTCCCATAAACACTGTAGCCTGGAACAATTTCAGGGAAAATATGATTTTTCAGGCAGCCTCTGGGCTTGCATGGCCCCCTCCAAGCACTTCCCTGAAACGTCTCCCTGGAGCTGATGCCAGACGGCAACCAACATCTCAACTGCTTCATTTCTCTGTTTTTCCATCTTTGTTGTTGCTCTAAATTAAACTGCTGGAGAATGAAGCATTTCATATTATAACAATGCCTGTCAGGAGTTCTTTACAGTGCAAGATAAAACACAAACCCTTTAATTAACTTTTTTTAAAAAATAGCAAATACTATTAACCGTTCTAGCATCTTAATAGGTATACATTTTCAATGTGCCTTCCTGTTTTAATTCCATCCATTCTGCTACTGTGTTACAGATTATCTCTCCACATATAATTGCCTCGGTCGCACGCTCTATTTTTGGAATATTGTTTTAACAATACCTTGAACTCCAGTCGTTCAGATGTTGCTGTCATGTCCCTGGCATATGTGATTTTGACTGAAATTTATGTATCTCAAAAAAATGTCTGGAAATGGCCAGGATACTAATCAGGAACATGGAAAATTTAAGGTAAAAGCAATTTCATCTCAAAACAAGGACTCAATAATTTTAAAATGTCTTCACATGATTTCAGCTCTGGGCCTAGCAATTAATTTCCATATGCTACGTGGTTTTTATAATTATAATGTATTATGTGATATTGTATTTTTTCATTTTTCCACCCTCTAATAGTAATACAGATTTATATCTCACTCAGTAGTGTATAATGTACATAAAAGTAATAAAACTGCATTTAAATACACATTTTATAATTCAGGCTTATCACACTATTTTTCCTGAGTAGAAAGTTCTACCCATGGTTGAAAATGCATGCTAATTACCCAAGCCTGGTTTTGAAGGACCCAAACATCAGTCCAATAAACACTAGACAAATTTTCCAGGTTGAAAGGAATAGCATTGTTCTGTGTTAATGAAAAATAATAACAGGACCTCCGAGACCCACTGATCTCCCAATTCCATTTGACAAAGTATAGCCACTATTTCCCCCAGGGGGTGTAGGAACGCCTGTTTATTTGTTTGCTCATGCATTCATTCATTCTGAGCAGAATATGGCTCACCTTATGTGGCTGATGAGGGAAGGCACGGGTGGGCCGTGGTTGAGGATGGCAGGAGATGCAGACTTCGCATTACTGGTTGGTTGACATCCTGCAGTCAGGAATGAGTTTTTCCCGCCTCTGTGTTTTCTGAAGGAGACACAGACATGGGAATGGGGATGACCAGTAGGTGAGGCGAAGCTTAGCCAGGGTGCCATTAACCAGATCCAGAGCAGAAAGGTAACTTCAGAGTTTTTGCTCCTGTAAGTACTGCTCCTTGGTACAAGTATGAAGCTCCCTTTCTGACAGAGTCCTGATTAGGCAGGAGGGCAGCTTTTTTGTTTTTGCATTTTATAATTAACTATGTGTATGCTTTCTACACTGATTGCATTATAGGATTATTATCATAAAATCTTACCTCGTCACAGGAAATACAAAAGCATTGCATATGGAGAGTAAAATTGATTGAATGGATCATGAATGCCTAGTTCCAAGGCTGTGGATTTTAATTCTGATGAGGTCATGAAACCATTTATGCTCAAATTTTGTCTGCAGTCTAAGTACATACAGCTTTAGTAAGCCCTATCATATTAATGTTTAAAGTGCTGTGATAGGCTCTTTTAGTTATTAATATTGTTTATAGATACATGTGTACTGATAAAACGGTCCTTCAACCATACAGAAAGAAAACAAATATTATCACTCTAATGTTTAGAATTAATTCAAAAAGCAACAACGGAATCTCAATCTACAACCTCACATGGCATAAATACAAAAACAAGTATAGCTAATTGAATAACCAGCAATGTATATATTAAAATTAAAATTTTCTCATGCATTTATTCTTTAACACTCAGCTAATCAGAGCAATATTTTGAAAATGCTAATTCACATTCCCGAAGCCCTTTAATGTGATAAAAACTCCTCTTCCTCGCAGTGAGGAAGGGACCCTGTGGAACTTCCCCCTGAGCAGGATCATCACCGTCACTGCCTAACTTGCCCAGGGGCACGGGCAAGGTCCTAGTGCACAGTGCTGCATCCACACGGCCTCAAAGCAGCTCCTTGACTGTTCGGCAACCCCTGGCAAGAAAGCAGTTCCCCTAAATGCATTATTTTTTCTCACACATAAAACGTATACCTTCCATGGTAGCTTCATATTATATTTAAATGCAATTATATACCATAGTATGGCTCCTTAAGCTGAATATACAGGGTACAGTTCTACTTTTCCTTATCATAGAGGTAAACTGTTTAAATATCAATTATGCAACGACCCTCTATGTACTCTAGAAACAGATACAGGCTGTTCAACTTACATCCATGACTCTACTTGCCCTTTGATATTTTTTTTCCCCAAATTCATACGCTACTTTATTTTCTTTCTGCCCTTTCATCAGTATTAAGCAGCCTCCTTGCTTCTTTCCATAGTGATGGTCTGGGGCAGCTTTAATCTGCTGCTTCTGATCTTCTGTTCAATGAAAAAGAGTTAATCAGTGTGTTTGAATTGTACATAAAGAAAGTACATAGATACAGCCACTTGGGAAAACAGTCTGGCAATTCCTCAAAAGTTAAACATACAGCCCAGCACTCTCAGTACTAGGTATGAGCACAAGAGACATGAGAATACCTGTCCACACAGAAACGTGTCCATCAATGATCACAGCAGCATTATTCATCTTAGCCAAAACTCAGGAACAACCCAACTGTCCATCAATCAATGAATCAATAAATGAAATGAATGGGGTATATCCTTACCATAAAATACGATTCAACTACAGAAAGGAATGAAGCACGAAAGCGTGCATGCTATGACACGGTGAACCTTGGAAACATTATGCTAAGTGAAAGAAACCAGTCACAAAACAACACATCTCAAACGATTGTATTTATATGAAGAGCCATATTCAGAGATAGAAGGAAGATTAGTGATTGCCCAGGGCTGGGACCAGGGGGCAATGGATGGTGGAGTGATCATGAAAGGTTACAGTGTTTCTTTTTGATGTGATAAAAATGCTCTAATGTTGTCTGTGATGATGGTTGCCAAATTCTGTAAATATACTAAAAGCTATTTCACTGTACACTTTAAGGGAGTGAATTGTGTGGTAGTGAATTGTATTTCAATAAAGCTGTTACCAAAACAAAACAAAACAATGATTCATGAGCAGTGTGTTAGAGCCTGAGAAATACTGCTCTCCACTGAGTGGTCTGGCTGACTTACCAGATACTTAAACAAACTTTATTTTCTGACTCCTGCATATTTTCTGGAGAATGAGTTCTAAAACTACAACATTTGGAAAGTTAGTTAATTTGTTTTATGCAAAGAAGGATCTCCAGTGATTGAGATCCTTTACTTTAGCCCCACAAATGGAAATCTTGACACTCACGTGTGAAAGGGGTTAAGATGACACGTCAAGGGTAGCATGCTTGGGTGGAGCGGGGAAACAGAAGCTCTGCAGGTAGCGGGGCTGAGTCAGGTGGGAGGGGAAGGAGAAGCCTTGGAGTGCAGCTTCAGGAAGGGGGCAGGTGTGGCCGGACAGGCTGGCGGAGCAGCCCCTGAACAACTCTGCCACCGTGCGGGTGTCCTGCTTTCACATGGCTTCACTATGCACATACAGCACATGCAGACCTCACTGTCAGGGCACGTATAACCCTGGAAACCCTGGGGAAAGGCCCCTCTGCTGCGCCATGTCCTCCAGCTTCGCGCCTGCCGTGCTCCCTGTTCCCAGAGCCCAAAGAGAGACAAAAGTGGTCAGGAAATGTTTGGAGACCAAATGCAGGAGTCTAAAATTATACTGCACTCCCCAGAAAATACCCAAGTTTGATTTTTAATAATTCACAAATAACGAGTTACATGCACTACAAATTCCACTGTGATGCCATTTAACCAATGAAAAGAAATTCCGTCAAAAAGGAAAATCATTCCCTTGTTTTTGAACCCAGCCCTAAGCACGGAGTTGACGGGTCTAGTCACCTGCAGCACAACGGCTTACCCACTGAAAAGGAGCTTGTGACATTCTATCTTAGGAATATTCTAGCTTTATCTTAGAATAAATGGAATTCCCATAGAGCTTTGTCCTAACACTTGTGAGAACAGACAAGGTCAGACAAGCAGATGGCCAGAGACAGAGAACACCTAAGATCCTTCATTTTTCCTTCTAGCCATAAGAGGACACAGAACCCCATGCCACAGGGAAGGCAGGTTAAAACCGATCAATATTTTATGCCATCAGCCGGCCTGGCATATTACAGTTATGACACATCTTTAAAAGTACGAAGAAAGAGATAACACAATGACTGCACTAAAATGTCAAGAAGCGAGTCTGCCAGCGGCGATGGGCTTCAGCGTTTCCTCCCTCCACACGCAGTCCCTCCATGTCACCAACATGCTGGAGCTACGTAGGACTGAGCCTTCCCTGGTATTCCCGGAATCTCAAAGATCACAGCCTGTGCACAGAGGCTGCACATATTAATTTACAACAGGGGCAGGCGGGAAAATAAAACTCTGTGGTTCTTCTCTAGGGCAAGAATAGTTTAAACTAATATAAAAATAAAGACAAACAGAGAGATGGAGATGAAGACAAATGTGAAAAAGAGGAAGAAGGAGGAAGAGGAGGAGGGGGAGGAGGTCGAGAAGGTGAGAATTCCTGGTAAAACATAAGTAACATTTAACAAACAAACAAACAGCAACCTCCAAGTACCCGAGCATGCTGCTGGGACGGAGAGACTCATTTTCTCCGTTCCTTTTGGCAGTTTCTTTGCCTGCTGTAGATTGAAGAAAATAGGAATAAGCATCTTTCGACCCACAAACAGATGTGCTTGATAAAGAAAATGTCAGCAAAAATACTAAAGCAATGTGTCACAGCGGCTTTCTGACAGATAGAGGGAAAAGGTAAAAAATGTTCTATCATGTCCGACAAGGTGTTCTTTTTGAGATTTAAAGATCACTGTGCAACTTTAAACATGTTTGTCACTTTGGCTCTGACTACAGCTATCTGGAGCTTCAGAAGAACTTTATCAGCTCGGCATAGGGGGAAAGAAAGGAGCCCGTTCCCATTTATCTCAGCTCGGCTCCCTTCAAAGCCAACAAATAAATTACAGTGTACATTTGATACAAATTGATTTCTTAACTCAAATAACAATGTTGTCCTCCCGGTCGGGCTATGTGTCACTCACTCGCGAGCCTGAGTGAAAGGCTCAATCTGTCTGTGTGACAGAAATAGGCCTGGCGCGCTCGGGAGGAATGCTAATCGCCCGGGCCTGGCCCGGCTTTGTGGGCCGGCTGCGATAAGGGGGATCGGGCCCAGCCGCTCCCCACCAGGGCCCCATCCTGTCCGTGCCAGCGCGAGCCCTTGGCCTTGGGCTTGTCGGCCTATTTCACTAGGAAAATCAGATCCGGCCACCGTGGCTAGGATGCTCGTGGCCGGGATGAGCCGGAGCTGCAGTGAAAGGAAGCCCGTTGAGTGTCTTCAGCTGATGTTATCGGCCGCTGGAGAAATGAGATATTGGCAGGGCCTGCTGAGTCCCTCGCAGCTGAGCAGGTTAATAAGGTGGGGAGGGGGGCTGCAGGCTAATTGGATTTGGCCTGGCTTGATCAACAGTGTCAGGCCTGCTGCCAGGGAAGCATACACAGTGGCTTTCTCTTTGTTTAAATTTAAGCCGGGCGAGGAAAAGTCGCACTGCTCTTGTGAAGCTGAGGGTGTGCTCCCGAAATCCCATCCTCGTGGGCCCAGGGAGTGGCCCCCAGTCGCAGAAGTGCTTGGGGGTTTCGATCCTGGGTGCATGACCTTGCAGAGCTCTACCAGTTGGTGCCCATGAAGGCATCAGAACCCAAAAGGCTAACTGGAGGTGGGAGGCAACTAAGGTACTAGGCACTGGCCTACTGGGTCCACGCAGGTCTTCTGCACTGGCCTGTCCACACAGGTCTCCCTAATGGTGCCCGGAGAGAGCTGCTTCCTCTCTACTGTTAAGGAGGGACAGTCCTCCACTGTGCACACCTGTGCAGAAACATTTCCAATGTGTAGGAAGCAGGTGGATGGGTATCCTGTTTCTTAATCAGTCTTGACAGGCTTAGGGCTTGTCTTGACTTTAGAGCCAGGAATATTCCACAGAATCCCACCTCGTCCCCATCATCACCCCATCATGGGAGCACCTGTGGTTTGTAACATTCCTAGAACATTGACCTTCAATTAAACGATCAAGTCCTTCCAACATTCATACAACAGCACAGTCATTGATAATTTTATCCGGGATGCATTCTTCCAGTCAAGTTTAATGTATTGAAATTGAGAGGTGAGTTCAGACTGTTTATTTTTTTAAAAAAACTTTGCATTATGTAGCTTTGTCAAATCATTTCAGGGAATATCTTCTTTATCCAGAATCTCTAATCTAGCAGTTTGGCCTGTTCAAAGTCTTAGCCTCTGATAGTATATTATCCCTTACAGAGAAAGAGCACATTATCAAATGTGCAGGTGACAAATATCTTTTGCTAGGTACCTTGAAAATGTCCTACATCAGAAATGTTCAACTCTTAGCCAAGTAATAAAAATATAAACCAAGTTATGTAAGATTTTCCTAGTGGACACATCAGATAATGCTGATGTTTATGATTAATATCTTATTTAGTGTCTTTTTTTTTGGCCAGCAAAATTTATCCAGGGACAATTGCAATCAGGGTACTGAACTGGATTTTTAAAGGAGAAAAGAACAGTAGTGGGAGACTTACCCGCAAAGTGCACACTGTTTTCTTGATGTCAGTGTATATTGCTGGGAGCTCTGAGCAAGCTAATCCCACAATCTTCCTTCTGATGGGCAATTCTCTGTCAGTTAAGAGATGCTTGCAGGAATCAGGTAGTGCTTACAATATCTGCTCTGTTCCCAGTAAAGGTGACTTGGGAATGATGCTCCGACCCAAGGCTGTGCAGGCATCCCATGCCCTCTGTTTGCGTGTCTGTGTCTACTGGGTTGCCATCAGGGTGGCAAGAAGAGCACGGGCCTTTTCTGGGCCTGCTGGGAGGCAGCAGGATGGGGAGTGGAGAGCATGGCCCAGGCACATCTAGCTAACCCCAGAATGAGTCAAGAATGAACAAGCATAATAGGTTTCATCCCCAGACAAGTCTCTCTGACTTCTAGAAAAGGAGCCGGGGACTTGCAGAAAAGGCGCTCAGGGCATTTCCCCTGGGCAGGAGGGAGAGAAGCAGAGGGCAGGAGTGAAGTCTCCGCCAACACATGCTACTGACAAAGGGTATGAAGGGCACCTGCGCAGCAAGGAAGCCCCTCAATATATATTTATAAATATATATTTTTATAATTTATAAATATATATTTATAAATATATTTACAAATATATATTTATATATATAAATATATTTATATTATATATATTTATATTTTTATATTTATAAATTTATATTTATACATTTATGTTTTTGTATTCATAAATTTATATTTATACATTCATATTTTTATATTTATAAATTTATATTTATACATTCATATTTTTATATTTATAAATTTATATTTATACATTTATATTTTTATATTTATAAATTTATATTTATACATTTATATTTTTATATTTATACATTTATATTTATACATTTATATTTTTATATTTATACATTTATATTTATACATTTATATTTTTATATTTATACATTTATATTTATATATAAATATATACACACATATACACACATATATACACACATACATATATACACATATACATATATACACATATATACATATATACATATATACACATATATACATATATACACATATATACATATATACATATATACACATATATACATATATATACATATATACACACACACATTGCCTTTCAAGATATTAACTCAATTAATTTACGCAAATATTTATCAATCACCTACCATGTGTCTCAGGATACATCAGTGAACGACAGAGACTCTGATGCTCACGGGGCGTTCATCACAGCAGAAGACAATCAACACTGATTATCTATGTAATTGAAAAGTAAACTAAACAGTATATTGGCAGGTAATATGTGCCATGTATTAAAATAATTCATAGAGGGTGAGGGAAATCAATAGCTTGGGATAAATATTGCAGTTTTCAGTAGTGTGGTCAGGGTTGGCCTTACTGATAAGGTGCCCTCTGAGTAAACTTTGGGAGGAAGTGAGGGAATTAGCCACGCAGACACTGGGAGATGGGTGTTCTCACCACAGCACCAAGGTTCTGAGGTTGGGGGGACTGAGAGTGTTCCAGTAAACAGCCGGGACTGTGTGACCAGAGCCTGTGGGATAAGTGAAGATAAATTTCCCCCCGTCAGAGCGCTGGGAGGAACCTGGCTCTCACTCTGTGTGACATGGGAGTCAGCTGCAGGGCAGTTCAGCAGAAGACGGCTGCCATCTTGCACTTCAGGGCTCCCTTGGGCTGCTTGGTTAGCAATACACTGTAAGGGGCAATGACAGAGGCAGGGAGGCTACTGGAGGTTTGCAAGCAATGGAGGGAGAGATGACAAGTCTTTAACCGTGATGGTGACACAGGCTGTGTGACGTGTGATGTGATTTGTGCAAGGCAAAGCCACATTTCCCTGATAGATTGGGCATGGCGGTGCAAAAAAAAAAAAAAAAAAAAGCTGTCAACACTTTGGCCTGAGGAATCAGCAGGCTGGAGTTACTATTGGCTGAGAAGGAAAATTTGCAAGAAACGCAGGTTCAAAAGGTGTGATCATGAATAGAGCTTTGGATCTGTTTTGAGATGTGCTTGTACATTATCCAAGACATTCAGTAGGTAGTCAGAAACACCAGAGGCAAGGCTGGGCGAGGATGGCAAATCTGGAAAATGTTCAGCATCTGAATGGTATTGGAAGCAATGCCAACAAGGGCACGATGGGGCTAAATAGAAAAGGGGAGAGAGGGGCTTCAAGGAGGAGACCTGTTTCCGCCACTGAGAGTCCCTTCAGAAGACAAGAGCCCCGTGGGACGGAGACTGAGCTGGAGGGTCTTCACAGTGGGAGGTGAATAAGGAGGGGGTGAAAGGGAGCTGTCCCCGGTGCCACGTACTTCTCACTGGCCAAACATAAAGACAATGCAGAATGGACAAATGGACCTAGTCTCACGCAGTCCACTGGGGACCTTTGGAAAGCAGAGCGGTGGGCAGAGCAGAGAGCACCCTTCCTTGGAGTTTTGCCGCAAAGGAAAGCAAAGAATAGAGGGGTAGCTGCTGAGGGAAGGGGTCAGGAGGGGAGATCTTGCTTTTTTTCTTTGCTTTTATCTGGAAGAAAAAATATCAAGTGCTTTAGGAAGTGATTCGGCAAAGGGAGGAAATGTGGGAGGCACGAGAGGCAGAGGGGCTGAGATGAAGACATTCCTCTCTCCTGCTGAATGTGCCTCCAGCATCTGCGTGTACACATTTGGCCTTGCAAGGGAAGGGAGGGCGCAGAGTTCAAAGACTCATCCCCGTGGCCCTTTATATTTTAAGTAAGAATTGTTGG
The DNA here is from genome assembly GCF_000001405.40 of Homo sapiens. Taxonomy (NCBI): domain Eukaryota; kingdom Metazoa; phylum Chordata; class Mammalia; order Primates; family Hominidae; genus Homo; species Homo sapiens. Next base: position 90,204 of record NW_018654712.1, read on the forward strand.
TGTGTGACTAAGATCCTCTAAGCAGATGTTGACGCAGATGTTGACAGTTAAAGAGTTGACAGCTGGGGGGGTCTTCTCTACACCCTGACCACAAAGCAGGTGCCAGGATGCCCCCATGAGGTGCAGCCAAGAAAGAGAGAAGCAGCCTGTCAATGTCATCAGTGATCATTACAGGGCAGGAAATGGCCCTTTAAATTCACTATCAGTTGAATTTGCAGATGTAGAAAGCTGAATTTTGTTCATGTATTCTTTTTTTCCTATAGGAAAGCATCTTGCTTATATTTAAAATTTATTGTTTAAATCCTGATTTTCAAAGGTTTTGACCACGTCATTCTTTCTCCAAAGGCAGCACTAAAAAAGAGGCTGGGAGGTAAGCTCATGAAAGCTGAGCGGCCCTGGTTGCAGGTTTGGGGAGTTGAGGATGGCTGTGGACAGCAAGACTTCCGACACTCACCCCTGCTCCCCTGGCTGGGCCCTGAGATCCCCAAAGGGTTGAACATCTCTGTCCTAGATCATTATTGCTTGTGTTGACAGCAACCACAAAGGTTAACATTTGTTGAGCCCCAGGCATTTTATCCCACTTATCTTCCCAATGTGACAGTGGAAGAGCTCTGTGTACATGTAAGGGCCCAGCTACCTTTCTTGAGTTTCACAACAGCTTATTATGTAAAGTGCACACACTAAATTTTACACACACTTCCACAGGTATATTTCCCAACGACGGCTTGGTAAGAATCACCGCAACTCTAGCCAAGGCCACAGGGAAGTTTCCTTGTGGTGACACAGGAATCTGGAGGAGCCAGGAGCTGAGAGATCAGTGGAGTTTCATGAACTGAGGGAGATTGGCCTGGGCCCTGGGGCAAGGCATGACTTGGGAAGGTAGAGAATGAATGGAAGAGTGATCGCTGATTGTTTGGGCTCAGAGAGGCCTACCAGCCTGACTGTTGGAAAAGCACATTAGACAGATGGGATGTAGCGGCTAGAAGAGCAGGTGCCAGACGGAAAATCCACTCATGAAGTCAGAGCTACCTGTGGCACCGGTACCCTGTTGGAAGAGCCTCGCTGTTCTTCTTCTACCTGTGGTCCAACTTGGACCACACCTGAGCCCAGGGGGACCCTCAACCAGAAGACCCTCTTTGACCCTTGCCATGGGAGCAGAAAGATTAATTGTGACACCAATATTCCTCCCCCAGACCCGGGCTTTCCCCTCGGGAGAGGAGCAGAGCCTTTGCCTTAGAGACACTCAGGTGATGGCCAGTGCATGAGTGTCCTGTGGATGCTGTAACAAAGTGCAACAACGGAAATGTATTCCCTGGGAGTTCTGGAGGCCAGAAGTTCAAGGACCAGGCATAGTCTGCAGGGCGGGCTCCTTCTGAGGCTGTGAGGGAGAATCTGTCCTGTCTCTCTCTCTGGCTTCTGGGGGCTGCTGAGAAGGCTTGGCATTCCTTGGCTTGTCACTGTATCACCTGATCTCTGCCTCTATCCTCATGTGGCGCTCTCCTATGTGTCCCTATCAGCTTCTACGAAGACCGCAGTCTCACCGAATTAGGGCCCTCCTAGTGCAGTACGACCTCACCTTAACTAATCACATTTGCAGTGACCCTATTACCATAGTTCTGGGAATTAGGACTACCACATATGAATTTTTGGAGGTGTACAACTCAACTCATGACAGTCAGCAGGAGCTCCCTCCCTTCCTTCAAACAACCCATGGATTTAATGAACCTCTTACTCTATGGATCAAGCAATGGTCATTACTTATACCAGATAATACCCATTTACCCCATGTGCTGCTAGAAGTACCTTCCAGTTTTTAACTCACTTGATCCTACTGATACGTGTATGAAGCAAGAGTGGACTTTATTTTCCACACATGGAAATGGAAGCCCAGAGAGGTTGAGTTATCCAAGGTTGCACAGTGAGGAATGCTGGGACGAGAATTCAAAAGCAGGCAAGGGCTCCATGTCCACGCTGCTGGGTGTCTGTCCTGAAGACACAGACACCTGAGTGCGCCTAAAGGCGCTGCCTATTCCTGCTCTGGGAAGACACTTCCCCAGCTTTCTCTGGTACACTGAATGATGCATGAATGATGGATGTAACACTATAGTATTGCTTTGAGGTTAGTGGGTTTTTATATACTTGAGCTAATGAAAACAAATCTTGGAGTAAAATCTTTTTTTTGTTTGTTTTTTAAGGGCATTTGTCTAATTGCCTACCAGAGACGTTTTGTCTCCAAAGCAATCATGATACCAAATGTTCTGCGTCTTCCGGGTGTCTGCTACAGAAATGGAAAATCTTAAATCAAGCCTTGCTCTCTTGAAAATAAAAAGTCTATGGAATAAAATAGTCTACTGAATAAACTGTAATATTATAAAAAGTGTTCTGCAGAAAAAAAGAGCATGTTTAGTCAGGATAAATAAAAGAAAGGAAACAATTTAAACCAAACTTTGCTTCCAATTAAAGTGTAGGTTTATTTTCAAAGAAGAAAAATTACCCCTCACCGTAAGTGTGTGTCTGAGACACAAACCTCTGATATAAAATTAGCTCTGCTTCAAATCTTTTACGTTTAATGATTTCTTCTTTTAACATTTGGATCGTTTTATTATCTTTGGACACATATCAACATATTATAGATGCAAAAGGCCACAGCCTGGGGACAGCAGAGAGAATTTTCAACAATGTAATCACTGTCAGAGCAAATCAGTGAGGCTTTCCTCTTGAATTACTCTCAATGTGCAAAGGGACTTTCTAAGAATTTAGTGAAATCTGTCTTCGTCGGTTCAGGCTGCCATAACAAAATACCATTGACTGGGTGGTGGCTTAAAAAAACAGAAATTTATTTTTTCACAATTTTGGAGGCTGGGAAGTCCAAGATTAAAGTTCTGGCAGGGTCTGCTGTCTGGTGAGTGTGCTCTTCCTGGTTCATAGACGGCCACCTTCTTATGTGGTCACATGATGGAGAGAGAGAGCTCTGGCATCTCTTACTCTGAGGACAAGAATCCTGTTGGATCTGGGCCCCACCCTCATGAACACATGTAACTTTAATTACTTCATTACTCTAAATGCAGTCACATTGCTGGTTATAGCTTCAGCCTGCAAATTGTTGGGGACATAATTCAGTCTATAGCAGAATCCATATAATTGTCAGAGGATCCATTTATCAATGCATGCAGCCATTTCCTCCATAGGATGTCACCTCAGGGACATCAGTTGGGAAGCATAATTTATACACAATTTTATGATGAGATCCAAACTGCCAAGAACAACAGGAGACAGCTATAGGATTTTTAGAAAGTTTCATGTGTGCCGTTATAATTAAAGAGCTCCTAATTTTTAAATATACATTTTAAGAGGCTGATCTCTCCCTCAAACAACCCACCAATGAAGCAAACGAACACCTGGAGAAGCCTACCTTGGAATGAGCCATGGCTTCCCTGGCACCCAGCATTCCTCTAGCTGTGGCTACCTTAACTTTCCAAAGTTTTGGCTTTCTTGAATAATCTATTCCATATTATTGGTCGCTTTAACAGATTTTACTTATATTGTTTGTTTCTTTATATTTTATGCCAACATTTCAACTAAACATATTTCGGCACTATTGAACCCGAATATCTACAATATAATTCCTTAGATGTAAGAATATGCTAACCACAGTACTCTGCTGTACTTTCAAAGCACTTCACAATTTACAAAAGTTTTCACAAAAGTTTTCCCAGCATAGTCCTAACTTCATACTCATGGTGGGGGAGTCCTCACTGCCATTTTTTTGGATGGGGTGATAACATAGGCAGAACGAGCAAACTGAAAGACCTACACCGGAAGTGGGGAGTGGAGCAACCACTCCTGCTTTCGAATTCTAATTGAGCAATACACTGATGTTTAGAACAAAATGTAGCTTTTCATTTTGTTCTAAACATCAATGGACATTTGAGATCTATTTCTAGCACTTCACTTTTTTCAATATACAAACAAAATAATCATCTTTTTGGGAAAGTGGTAAAGAATGCAATATTTTCCTTTTGAAATTATTGCCGTCAATGGTGCTTTGCGAATAAGCACGTGTGCCACATTGTGAAGATCTTTCCAACTCACAGAAAGTTTCTCACAAAGATCGATTCATGATCTTAGACCCTTGGTAGCTAGAAGGAAGCAATACACAACTTGTCAATCAACGCGCCAGGGTTCATGCTGTGTGCAATCATATTTATTTTCTCTCCCTTGAAAAAGAGACACTTGTGCTGTAACAACATTCTGAGTTAAAGAGTTAAAGTAATTTGGTTTAAAATGTGTACAGGATGAAGAGGGATGGCCAGAAAATACTTTGATCCTTGATGCTGCCAAAGCTTATCTCCATGAGTAGAACAAAGTAATGGGGCCGATGGCAGAGCCACTCCTTCCTCTTAGCACGATTGCCTCAGGGACATGAGTCAACAGAAAGGTAGACTCCTCTCTAGCTTAAGTGGACAGGAGCTGGGAGTGGAGAAACAACCTAAGAGCTAAATACAGCTGGATCCTGCTGTTTAGGGTGGACCCTCTTACCGTCCCCAGGATTAAAAACAAAACACCGGAGAACAGGGCTCCCTGTCCAGTGCTGGCCATAAGCATCAGCAGCATCTTCTCTCTGAAGACCACAGCCATAGCAGGGAGGGAGGAAGATCAGAGCCCACAGGACATCAGCTTGAGGCAGGGATGGGGAACCAGGAAAATGATGTAGACCCTTGGTTCTCCCCGCCTCGATTAACACACAGACCTCTCACACACAGACCTCTCTCTCCTCCCCTGCAGCCTGGGAGAGATGATGATTAATAGAGGGCACCCTGCATTTCACAGTGTCCAGGTGACCTTCATACCACCTGTCATTGCAGCTCCCCAAAGTGAGGCACCTCCTTTCACAAATGAGGAAACAGATCATTGTCCCGAAGTGATTGGCCTAATGTCACACAGTTGGTAAAATACAAAACTCAAACCCAGGTGTTACGACTCCACCTGGAGCAGCCTGCTGCCCCCAGGTCAGTCATCTGAACACAGGAGTCTCAGGTCCTCACTTAACAAATGCAGGGCTTGGCTTGTCCATCAACATCTTCAACAATAAACCAGTGGAAGGCAGAACAAAATCCTATATCCAGGCTTATGAAGATCAATCTGTTCTAAAACAACTGACTAAAACCAACAGAAGGACTCAGAGACAAGGTTCGCTCCAGGAACAAGACCCCTGGAAGGCCTTCCAGGGAAAATTTTTAACGAGTTGATTTCTCAATGCCCAAGGATCAAGCCCAAGCTAGATGACCTGGTCCACAAAGTTCTTTATGGCCTGAACTTTACCTTCTCAGCCTCATCCATGGTAATCCCCCCACTAATCCTGTGATTTCGCCATAACTGTTCAGTCATTCAACAAATCTTTCATAAGCACCTACTATGTGCTGAGTTTCCCAAGCTGGCAATGTTCTGTGTCACTTCCTTCCAGAAATGCTGTTCCCAGAGCCTGATGGCGCTCATCCTCCCAGTCTTGGCTGAGATGATGTTCCTTTTGGAGACTTCTGAGACTTTCTAGACCAGATAATTTTCTTACCATTTGGGTCCACTTGTTAAATTTTTTAATAACCTTATATCCAGTTTTACTGTCATTGACTTAAAAACAACAAAAGTCTATATCTCTTCCCAAACTGTAAGTGTATATGCTGAACAAGCATTCTAAGTGTCTGTTGTTGTGTAACAAAACATCTCAAAACTTAGTAGCTGAAAACAACAATTCGTGATTTTTGACTGGGGGGGCTCTTCAGCTCTAGCAGAGGTTGGCAGAGGTCACTAGTGTGGCTGCAGCTGGGAGCTTGCCAGAACACAGCACATCCAAATGGCCTCTCATCCTCTACCCCATCTCCCCACAGGCCCTCTCATGTCTAATTTCTCTTCCTTAGCATCTTCCTAAGGGCTGGCCTTGGCAGCCCCATGATATCACCTCTGCCACATTCCACAGGACAAAGCAAATCACAAGATGAGCCCACGTAGGGGAGTTTACTCCATCCTTCGTGTGAGGCGGGGGGACAGGTGCACTCAGGGAGGGGCTGCTGCGGGCTCTGTCTGCAGACAGTGACTACAAGGACTTTTCCGTCTCACTCACAGCCCTACCCTTAGTGTCTGAAGCTCTGCCTGCATAATAGGTGCTTAAGAGATGTTCACTGACGAATGGGGAGCATCTGTGCAAGACGTCTTGTCCCTGGAGGAACTCAGGAGCACTTGGGTGGCCACATGAGAGCTGTGCTCTGGGAGGACTCTGCCTTGGGAGAGAAGACCCTAGAGAACCCTTCTGATCAGTTCTAACCTCCTGACATCTCCGCGGCTGCAACAGCAGCATGACGGGCGTGAATCACGCTGCCCTTGAACGTGACTGGAGAAGGCGGTATTTACAAGTCTACTGTGGGCCCATATTAAACTTCACTTTGACATAGGCTCACTTCTTTGGCAGTGAGAGTGAAAGGGGTGGAGTGAGTGTGCCACGCTAGTTGGCTCCGGGACACAATGGGGCTGGCGGCTGGAAGAGGATAAGGGACAGGTGAGAGACAGGCATCCAGGCTTTGGCGCTAAGATTAACTGTTCACTTTTCTTTAATTGGCACCGTTCATGTCCATGAATATACTAAATATGTTTGGATACCTACGTTTTTTAAGCCTTGGAATTTTGCACTCTGTTTCTAAAACAGGGTAAGGAATTTCACAAATTAACTCATTTGGCTAAGTGCATACCCCATGGGATCTACCAGTCGAACTGTGGGGAGAGGCTGGCCCTGCCCCCTGGCCATACCCCTTCTGAGCCGCCCTCTTCCACATCCAGCCGCTGCTCCCTCCCAGGAGAGGCAGGCGGTCCTCTGACCTTGGTCCTCTGCATACGCTCTTCTGGCTTCCAGGATACCTGTCTCCTGGGCTGAGACTTCCTCACTCTTCATGCAGTGAAGCCATGACCATCACCCCCAAAGCAGGGTGGGACTCATCATTGGAAGAGGTCTCTATCATCATGTGGGTGTGTTTCCTTTTTTTTAAACAACTTTTAATTAATTTAATTTAATTTTGAGAGATAGGATCTTGCTCTGTCATCCAGGCTGGAGTCCAGTGTGCCCATCATGGCTCCCTGCAGCCTTGACCTCCTGGGCTCAAGCAGTCCTCTCGCCTCAGCCTCTGGAAGAGCTGGAACTATAAGCACACATGCACCACCACTGCCCCCCTTTTTTTTTTGTAGGAACAGGGTCTTACTCTGCTGTCCAGGCTGATCTCAAACTCCTGGGCTCAAGTGATCCTCCTGTGACAGCTTCCCAAAGTGCTGGGATTACAGGCTTGAGCCACCACACCCGGCCTGTGTTCATTTTCCATTGCTGTTTTTTTTTTATTTTTTATTTTTGAGATGGAGTCTGGCTCTGTCTCTCAGGCTGGGGTGCAGTGGCAGCATCTCAGCTCACTGCAACCTCTGCCTCCTGGGTTTAAACCATTCTCCTACCTCAGCCTCCCAAATAGATGGGATTACAGGCACCTGCCACCACACCCAGCTAATTTTTGTACTTTTAGTAGAGATGGGGTTTCTGCATGTTGGCCAGGCTGGTCTCAAACTCCTGACCTCAGGTGATCTGCCTGCCTCAGCCTCCCAAAGTGCTGGGGTTACAGGCATGAGCCACCACACGCAGTCTCCATTGCTGTTTTAACCAATGATCACAAACTTACCTGGCTTCAACAACACAGATTTACCACCTGGCATCTCTGGAGGTGAGAAGCCTGATGTGGGTATCACTGGGCCCATGTTCAGGTGTCCAAGCTCCACTTCGTCTGGAGGCTCCAGGATAGAATGCACGTCCTTACCTGTCCTTGGTCCAGAGCCCACCCACACTCCTTCACTCACCGCCCCTTCCTTCACCCTCAAAGCCAGCGATGCTGCGTCCATGTCCATCAGTGCCTTTCTTAGCTAGGTCTCCCTCTAGTTGACTCTCTCATTCTGCCTTCTTCCACTTTCCAGGCCTCTTGTGACTACATTTGGCCTTCTTAAATAAGGCAGAATAATCTCTTCATTTTGAAGTCAACCAGCCTTAATGCCACCTACAGCTTTAATTTCCCTTTGCCATGTAACCTGACATATTCCCAGAGCCTTCCTGGGGTGGGGCTGAGGGTGGGGGATTGTTCTACTGACCACATGTTTTTCACACATTGTTGTTGCTCTTTGACTTGGCTGTGTCTTCGTCTAGACATGTGTTGTCCAATACGATAGCCACGAGTGTAGCAGCCATTAGTTATGGAATTCCAGTTAAGTAAACTTAAATAAAAATAAAAATTCACTTCCTCAGTTCCACAAGGGCCATTGCAAGTGCTAAATGGCCATAGGGTTGAACCACCAGGCTGAACGGTGCAGACACACAACATTTGCATTATCACATCAAGTTCTTTTGGAGAGCACTGGAGACTGTTCTCTAAGGCCAGGGTGGTACGTGGCTTATCTTCAGATGCCCACTGCTTAGCGGCTTTGTAGCATCAAGCTGGTACCCAAACGATATGCAGCAAGTGGATGAATGACTGTCACAGGCTATCCTAAAGTAGAGGGAGTGAGTCATCTTCTGCCCCTCATTTCCAGTGGACACACACAGATACAGCTATTTCTAGCAGCCTGAATGCCGTAACGTTAAGTGTTTATGGAGAAAGCGAATAATAAGGATTCATTTGTGAAAATTATTTTAACTTGGAAACAACTGAAGAGTTACAGGTTGAAAAAGGCAATTAATGTTCCAATGATGAAAGTAGCCAGAGGTAGACAGAATTTGCTCTTTGTCATTTGCTCATGCTGGGCTAAAAAATGGCAATTATCTTTTTCTGCAAATCAGATTTTTAAAAATCTAATTCAAGTTTTTCCTTTTTTATCTTTGAAACTCTGCCATGCCTCTGTTCCAAAAAGGGAGGCGCGTGTGTGTTTTTGTATGTGTGTGTTAGTGTGTAGGTAGGAGTAGAGTTAAGGGTAGACCAATAAATTTAAACCTAAAATAATTAAAGTGATTTTAATCTTCCAGCTATGGTAAATGTGTCTGCCATCAAAATGGGTCCATTCATTGGAAACTACACATCATGCTAAGTCACTGTATGCTGAAGGCTTTGGATAATATGCAGAGGGAGCCCCAGTGATAGGAATTGGCCATCAAACCAGGCTGTCCACTGGCTTCCAGCAGCTGGTAAGTGTTTGGATCATAGGGAGGTGGGAGTGGAGGTGGAGGAGCTGGTCATGCTCTCGAAGGCTGCATGGTGCCTGGCGGCGGGGAGGCAGCAGGAGCAATCGGAAGCCTGGGAGCAAACAGGGTGCAGGTTCGTGGGGCCTTTACTCCGAAGACAACTGCTGCCACATCAGCATGGCCCTCTGCAGCATGAAGTGCATTGCATTCACCATTCAGGAAGGGAAAAAAGGATGTTTTAAAGTGGAATTTAATACAAATATAACTATCTGCTCCTAGCCCCCGCCCCTTTCTTTCTGGCTATTAGAGCAGAAGCAGAATAACTGTCCTACTTTTTCACACCAGCACATTCAGTCTTACTATGATTCTCGAAGAATGTTAATTAGGGGAAAATACCTTAGTTGTTAAAAAATGTAAACATCCACGCTTCTTCTTCACTACAATCTTTTCAGAACATGATATTCGGAGCTGGGCTTTAGAACTTCAGCATCATATAATTTGGTTGAAAGATTTTTCTTCTTGACTTTCCAAGAAAAAAAAATCATTTGTGAACTGGCATATTGGCTCCATTTGTTCAGGCAAAACAAGGTGTTTTCTCATCCCACAGTGGGGGTACTTTGAAGCTAGCTGCTTTAGTGAATGCTTTGTGGCCAAGAGAAACAAAGCAGGTTCTCGAAAGAAATGAAATTAATTATCTCCATTTGCTACATATACAATATTCTATGCATTAAGTACACCATTAATATATACAAACACTCTATGTTGTACAGTGTTTTATTAAATTCACTTATCTTGTCCTTTCACTTTATTATTACATTACAGAATAAAAAACTCCACTAACATATCTTGTGTCAGATAATTGTATTTCATTTTTTTTCTCTTCTTGGAAATACAGTACCCTCATAGAATATCCAAAAAAGATAATTCATATTCAGATTCAACTAAAATTAATCAAGTACTTACTTTGTACAGACACGGCATTGGTAGCTTTGATATACATTATGTTATTAATGAGGAAATTATTTATCAAACCTCAGTTTTTTATCAAAACTAAATAACCAAAAATATTTATCAAACCCTCAAATAAAGATATTATCCTACACTCAATGTATCTCCTTTATAAATTTTATAGAATTGTGAATTTGAAAACTAATGGGGAGAAAATTACTTACAACTCAACCAAAAAACAAACAACCCCATTAAAAAATGGACAGAGGACTTACAACTTCTCCCAAGAAGATATGCAGATGGCCAATAAGCACATGAAAAGATGCTTGACATCTTTCATCATTAGGAACATGCAAATCAACATCACAATGAGTTACCACTTTCCACCCTTTGGGAGGGCTCCTGCCCAAAACAACAGCAACAATAAAAACCAGAAAATAAGAAGCGTTGGCAAAAATGTGGAGAAATTGGAACCCTTAAGTCATTGCTAAGGGAGCGGTGGAAAATGGTATAGCTAATGTGGAAAATAGGTATGGCAGGTCCTCAAAAAGTTAAAAATAGAATTACTGATTCATCCAGCAATTCTACTTCTGATGAAACATATACCCCAAAGAATTGAAAGCAGACACTTTAGCAGATATTTGTACACCCATCATCCTAGCAGCATTAATTTCAATAGCCAAAAGGTGGAGCATCCCAGGTGCCCATGGATGAATGGATAAACAAAATGTGCCCATGGATGAATGGATAAACAGTGAATGAATAAACAAAACGTGGCATCTACGTACAACAGGATATTATTCAGTCTTAAAAAGGAAGGAAATTTCGACCCGGGCTACGACATAGGTCAGAATGGAACCTTGACATTATGCCACTTGAAATAAACCAGACACAAGAGGATAAATACTGTTTGATTCCAGTTATATCAGACAACTAGAGTAGTCAGATTTGTAGAGACAGAAAGTCTAACAGTGTTTTCTAAAAGCCCGAGATAAGGAAGAGGAGGATTTAGTGTTTAACAGGTATAGAGTCTCAGGTGGGGATGATGAGAAAGTTCTGGAGATGGATGGTGGTGATGGTTTTATAACAATGTGAACTTGCTTAATGCCACTGAACGGTACACTTAACATGACTAAATGGGATAATTTTATGTTGTGTATATTTTACTATAATAAAAATATTACTATTGTAAAAACTATTACAAAGTTTAGGGAAAAAATCTAGAAAGAGCAGAGTATAATATAAAATGATGAAAAATGTCTTTCAGATTTACAGATGTCTTCAAAGTCAATGTAGGAAAATGAAACTGTGAATTATTTAGGCATCTTTTTAAATGACAGTTTAAAAGGTGTGAGTAAATATCAATGATGCCGTGCATAAAGATGTTAATGGGAGAACTGCCAACTGATCCTCTGTGGCAGGGTGGGGGACTTGGGGGGGCGGTTGGTACCGTCTCCATAATCGTAATCACCTAATGGGTTGGCCTCCCAAGGGCCTCCTTCCTCTGTTCTCTTGTTCTGCTGGAGAATGTTTTGTTTCAGATTCTGAGTAAACTTTCTACCTTCTTCTTTCTCCTTTTGACTTTCCAAGCTCCCGATGGACTTCTTAATTCATGCAGTAAGCCACTGCAGTTTAAGCACGCAGGCTCCGGTCAGGACTGGGCAGGTTAATATTCCATCCCCTAGACTAGAACTGCAGGAACATGACACCGTGAAGATGAACAACAATGTGTGTCCCCTTCCATGCTTACTGAAAAACACGACACCGATGCCTAGAGACTCTGCCACACGGAGCAGAGTACAACAGGGCTCTGCTGTGTTTAGAGAACAGGATGGTTGGCAAGACTGAATCATTCAGACCTAAAAGTACTTTTATCTTTTATTAGTAGTTTTACAAAAGTAGTTTTATAAAATGCATTGCATTTTTTCTGGATGGAATCAGAGATTATACCCACAAATAAATTGTAACTGGAGTGCATTGTATTACAATTCACTGACTTCACACGAGACTTAAACATGAAATTATTCCCTTAAGAGTACATTCAAGTAAAATTTAAGGAGAAATAAGCACATCTGTAACTGAGATTTAGTTCTTTTCAAAAATACTTAGAAGGTAATGTGCTCTGCATGCAGGGCTCTGTGTGGAACAGGATGGGGGCGGGGCAAAGCTGAATCTCTGCAGGTCCACCCCAGGCCTCTGCATGCAACAGGGTGAGGGTGGTGGGAAGCTGGACCTCCGCAGGTCCACCCCAGGGCTCTACGTGGGAGAGGGCGAGGGCAGGGGGAAGCCAGATCCCCACAGGTCCACCCTAGTTGGACCAAATCACCCTGCATAGGAGATTTGGATGTGTAATTTACTACTATTCGCTAAAAGAAAATTCCCACACATGTGCCACACACATATTCATGTGTATGTCCATGTCTGTAAGTTATTAGGAAATCTCAGCATTCTCTTTCTGTATATAGGGGTGAAAAAGTAATATCTTTTCCTCATCCCTTACAAAGTTCATGGCTGACAACCATGTGACAGAAGACAGGTTAACAAGAGAAAAGTATGTAAGTGTTACAGGACGTGAGGCCCTCCAGAAATGAAGACACAAAGCCCCAGGAGGTGGTTATTTTTTTTTCTTCGATTGGATGAGGAATGAAGGGACAGTAGTGTGGGTGTGCGACTGGACAGCGGGTATGACTGAGTGGTGATAACTGAGGGGAGGATCAGCTGGGTTGTGTGTTAGGATTTTTCTGTGTCTTTTTGTCTCCACTCCTTTCCTCTGGCTATGCAGCAGGGCAGGACACCTGTGCCAGAGGGGCTTTCTTTGAGAAAGGCTGGAGAAGGTCAGAGGTCATCCTTCCTGCTTCCACAATTGTTTCCTTTCCCTCAGCTTGTCTTCATGTGATACTCAGCACACCACTGTGCCATTTATTGGGGGTATTGTGTTCTGTGCCCTGAGAGGTGGTACAAAAATTCAGAGGCCAAACGTTGGCCCCATTAGCCATTTCCTGAGCATTGCTCTGGCCAAGTATTTATTATTTTAGAAAGAAAGCCTGATAAGCACCAACGCATCTTCATCCCATACATGACACTGTTTTGCAGGAATTCCACTTGTATCATACTGGGACCCAGTAACCCCGCATTCTTCCAGCTCCGTCCTGCTGCAGGAGCCGGGAGCAGGACAAACCCTTCAGCCCCATTTGTGTCGATCCCTGATTGCTGACTCCATGCATTAGAAATACACTCCTTCTCTTTACTATCACAAGGCGACAGCTCGAGAATCTCACCTTAAATGTAAGATAACCATTCTGGGGAGTAGGTTTTACACAGAAACAGTGATGTGGGCCACTTTAAGAAGCCCTTTAAACACCTCTGGTGGGAAGCCCTGGGAATCAAGGAAAGGTGGGCATAGGTAGGGGATGGTAAGCCAGGCTTGCCATGCTCATGAACAGAGGGTGGGCAGGCTTGCAAGGAAGAGTGACAGAGGAGAAGTGCATGCCAGGGATGGGGGAAGATGGTGTGGGGACCCAGAGTCTCCATCCCATGCGAATGGATTGTGAGGGGAGTAAGGAAGAACACCAACATCCATCTCTCACAGCGATACCTCTTCCGTGAGAAGTAAACATTTCTAATCCTTTTTGTTAATTATTCTAGCAGGCAAGGACAGATACAGAGCAGGCAGGGCACGGAAAGGGATTGTAGACCCAAACTCCCCCTTCATTGTGTCCACATTTGCACAGAGAAAGAATTCAAGACCCCATAAAGATAATTTTGGTCATCCTATGTTTGATATTTCCAGTAAATGTTTATTTTAGAGATTTCAAGATGATTGGATCAGCTTAAACTCATAGGATAGTATTCAGTCTTAATTTTCTAGACAAGCTTCCCTTAGTTTGGGCTGAATTGAGGTAAAGTGGAAATGTACCACTTCTACATAGGAGTGAAACATGAAATGTCTAGGTCCTAATACAGGATTTGACATTCTCCTGGCTGTTTTCCACTTTCTGAGCCTAAAGAGAGTGGCAGGTGTGTGTGATGCTAGATAAAAATGAAGGTGATTGGGGGCCTGGTGGAGATAGTGCTGCCTTTAACCAGAAGCCCAATCCAGAAGAGGGGTTAAGGCAATATATGTGGCTCCATGGCTCCTCCTATAGAATGTCTTCTCTTGACACCTTAAGTTTTTAAGTTTTCAAAGCCTGCAGAGCACTAATTTCTGGAGCCTCCTCTAGTTAACACAAACCCAAAATAATTTAGAGAACATAAGACCTGTTCTTATTAAAAACTCATATTGACATCCCCATTAGAATGGCAAAAATCCAAAGTACTGACAATATCAAATGCTGGTGAGGATGTGGAGCAACAGGAACTCCCATTCATTCCTGGTGGCAATGAAAACTGTACAGCCACTCTGGAAAACAGTTTCATGGTTTCTTACAAAACTAAACATACTCTTACCCTATGATCCAGCAGCTGTGCTCCTTAGCATTTGCCCAAAGGAGTTGAAAACTTATGTCCAAGAAAAAACCTGCACACAGATATTTATAACAACTTTTTTCATAATAGCCAAGAGTTGGAAGCAACCAAGATGTCCTTTAGTAGGTAAATGAATAAATAAACTGTGGTTCATCCAAACTTTGGAATATTATTCAGCACAAAAAAGAAATGTGCAATCAAGTCATGAGGAGACATAGGGGAAACTTGAATGAATATTACTCAGTGAAAGAAGCCAATCTGAAAAGGCTACACCCTGTGAGTCCAACTATAGGACATTTGGTAAAAGCAAAACCATGGTGACAGTCAGAAGATGAATGGTTGCCAGCGATTCAAGGGAGAAAGGAATAAATAGGTAGCATGCAGGGGATTTTTAGGGAGGAGAAATTGTGCTGTATAATACTATCACAGTGGATAGAGGTCAGTATACATTTGTCCAAAACCATAGTATTCACAACACCAAGAGTGATCCCCCAGTGTGAATGATGGGCTTTGGGTGACAACGATGCACTGATGTGTCAGTGTGGGCTCATCACAGTCTGGTGGGTGATTCCCATAGTGAGGGAATCTGGGCATGTGTGAAAACTCTCTGTACTTTCTGCTCAATTTTGCTGTGAACCTGAAACTGCTCTTCAAGCATCATAGAAGACTTGAACACTTAACCAAAAAAGATAAGGAATCCCTGATAAGCACATGAAAAGATGCTCAATATCATTAGCCATTAGGAAAACACAAATTGAACCACATTGAGCTACCACTACACACCTACTAGAATATCTTTATAAAGGCGAGAAACACTTACAGTACCATGTGCCAGTGCGCATGTGAGTCCACCAGGGCTCTCCCGCACTGCTAGTATGAATGCGGGATGGTATGATGAGCTGGGAGAATAGTTTGGCAGGTTCTTAGAGAGAGAAACATGTATTTATCACACATCTCAGCCCTTTTACTCCTAGGCTTTTGCCTAGAAGTGAAGACATGCTTTCACACAAACACTTGACACATGTTCACAGCAGCAGGATGCATGATATCCAAAAAATGGAAACCACCGAAATGTCCATCAACTGGTGGATGGAGAAACAAATGCTGCTCCATCTATTCAATGGAATTCTACTCAGCAATAAAAACGAATAGTGAGGCTTGAGTGAATCCACACGTGGGCAAACCACAAAAGCATTATTCCAAGTGAAGGAAACCAGGCCCAAAAGGGTAGCAAGTGTATTATTCTGCTGATGTGGCACTGTGGGAGAGGAACCTCTAGGGACAGAAATCAGACCTGCACTGCCAGGAGTTAGGGGTGAGGGGGAAAGGGTCACTCCAGAGGGGCACAGGGGAGGTTTTTTGATTTGACGGGATTGGTCTCTCTTGACTATGGTGGTGGTCACACAACTTCAAACACTTGTCAAAACTCAGAAACACAAAAAGGGGATTCTTACTATACATATATACATTATGTTTCAGTAACTTTGATTAAATAAGCCATATTGAATCAAACATTGTTTCTTAGTTAGGTTTGATTTTTACTACTTCTCTCGGGCATAAGACAAAATAACATTTCCTGTGCTGATCTAAGAGGGAGAGAAAACAAGGCTCATGCTGTAGAGTGTTGTGGACTCTCCCAGATGGATCTGAAGGCAGATTCCATGTCGTTAGAAGTGTAGGCAAGACATGGGTAACATTCTCCAGGCGGCAGACAAGGCAAAGGCCATTGGTCTGTTCTTGCAATTATCAGGGATACCTAAGGAAGGGGATAAGAAAAAGGGAAGGGTCAGGTGTGGTGGCTCATGCTTATAATCCCAGAAATTTGGGAGGCTGAGGCAGGAGCAATGCTTGCACCCAGGATTTGGAGATCAGCCTGGGCAACATAGTGAGATCCTTCTCTATAAAAGAGAAAAAGAAAGGGGAAGGACACAGAGCAAAGCATGGGTGTCTCAGACCGGAACTGCCTCACACGCTCCCCACAAAAACGAAATACCTCACTGCTCCCGGCTCACGGCTGGGGTTGTGTATCCTGGGCCACAGCACGCCCAACACACTCCGCTTGAATCACCAGCTCAATGCCATTGTGTCCTTCAGGGCTCTGCCCAGGGCCAGCGTGGAGCTGTGTGTGACGTGGAAACATTTCATTTTGTTCACTTCAAAAATCATCCTTTGGCATTTCAGTTCTTTTCGCAAACTGTGTATGCTTTCCTTTATAAGTTGATTTATTCTTAGGAATCACTTTTCTCTTAGTGTATTTGGAATACTGAAAGTTATTTTTAGACACAAGGATTAACTGACTTTCAATTCAAGTTTCTTTTACAACCTTGACAAACGGCTCTTCACTTTTGGGTGACTTTTTTTTAAAGATAATATTAAAAGAGACTGATATTTTAGTACTGAAATCTCAAAACTGCTGCATATTACCTACTATATTTTTAAAAATTCTAAAACCTCAATAAATTTCAATACTTTCTTCTTGTGTATGAGATCACCCATTCTACTCCAGTGTGAAATGGTACCCTAAGTTGTTAATTTAATAAAATTGTATTTTCTTCCTCCTGAAGTCATCCCTACCCCCTAAATCTCCCAACTTCACAATCTACACGCACCCACCCCCCCACAGATTCTTTGTTATTGCACTTATATTGCCTTTTTAAAATCATCAGATTTTTAACTCTCCCTGTCTATGGCCTAAGCTAGTCGCCAGTGAGGCTTGTTCAGGGAGAAGTCATGCTTTATTACCCTTTATCAATCAATAAAATGAATTTTATTTTGCTTATGCTATAAAATCTGCATGAAGGCAGAAGGAACCCCTGTTTGGGGTGTTTGTGTGGAGCCCAGGAGCAGAGGCAGCCTGCACTCCATCATGCATAAAAGGAGAAATGGTATTTATAAGCCCACTCGCGTGAAGCTTGAGTGGGCAGATTCATGAAATTCGCCGAGATTTGGATTACATTTAAACCATTCTATACAGCTCTACTTTTGATTAAGGCTGTGTGTGCCGTGAAAGCCTCCCATTTGAATAGAACTTGGATTTTTAAGAACTTTGAATGTGCGCTAATCTAAATTGAGCTCTGAGTCTGATCTCGAAGTGTACAGTGGGTCAATTTACAGTCAGTATTAAAAGGGGCACAAAGGAGAGAGCACTGCCTCCCGAGAGAATTCTAGCTTTGGATCTGAGTTTATTAATTTTGGGATCAACGTAGAGGTGACTCACTCCAATTGCACTTATTAAATGATGAGACTTAAAGTCCTTAAGTAGAAGACTCCAGCAAGACAATTGAAATCAACAAAGGAGGAGAAAAAGGTTTTCACGTGTACACACCCACACACTCATCCCTAAAAAAGAAAAGCTTACCCGAATAGCCTCACAAGGCCCCAGAAATGAACGTTTCTCTTTTTCTTAATAGTAGTGATGGACTCATTTTATCATAGTGCTTTTTTTAAAAAGCTATTTTTGATCTGACTCTGCCAACCTAGTCCTTCTCCTTTATGTAATACTCTACCTGTCTGTCTATGCCTGTTTCTCTTTTTTCTGATCACCAGCAGATGTGGCCTGAACATCCTGTCTCGAAGCTTATTTTAATATCTTATAAAAAAGAGTCTCATCTTCCTGTCCAGGAGCTACAGGATAAGTGAAGTTTCACCATCCGTGGTCTCTGAGTGCTGGATCTCTCACTGGGAAACCCCTTCATGGATACCAGCCCTGCTTCCACGTGTGCCGAGCAGGTGGACGCCCTGCTCCTATTTTCAATCAATTGGGATGGCGAAGGTCCTATATCTTCTGTAAAACTCCATGGTGCACTTGGGAGAAAATGAATGAGAGAATAGAGACAATTAATGTCTTTATTAAACACAATGTCTTTATTCCAAGTATAAACATATTGAATAATATATGAAGAATATTAAATATTTGATGAAAATATGATGTCTCGGAAAAAGGAAGTGGTTCCAGATTGATAATTATGTGGATGATGAAGGCAGACAGAAATTTTTCTATCAAAATTTGGCAAAATATAACAGTTTATGCTCATTTTATGTAATGATATTCTCAATTACCCTGTAAGAAGATTCCAAGTCCCTGGGCCATCACCAGGGGACCCCACAGTACATCATGTTCATCTCTTTCTCAATTTCCACGCATGAGACCTCATGTCTCATTGGCCCTCTCTCCTTGCTCCAGGTGAGAAGACAGTAAACGCCTGTGTGTAGCTGGAGATCCTGGTGAGTCCAAACAAATGCAATCATTTGGGGAAACAGAGATGCCAAACTCAACACAGACAGAAGCCCCAGAGGTGGAATCCAAGTGAAATAACTGTGTCATCAACAGACAATTATTTAAAAAAAAGTTCAAAAACAATTACAAAGCTCTATAATTGTAAATTGGGAAGTTCAGGGTACCAAAGTGGAACTTATACTTGTTTATTGTTATTAGAAAATTGGCAGGATTATTATCCTGCACCTAATACACAATGCTAAATATTTCTTGTCATCTACCAAAAGATACATTCCCAATTCACTGGCAGGAGACATTTCGTGGGTAAGATTTGTGGCAAGTCGTAAGGAGGTTTTACTAGAACCCACCGTGTAAGGAATGAAGTCACTTAAGAATAATTTCTGGTAACACCTGAGGTGTTCATGCTCAGACGGATCCACTCACCTGGAGAACGGCTGAGTCAGGACTCTCAGCTCTTGACTCCAGCATCCCAGTGGACAGTTTTCATATGGATGTAAGCACAGGGGCCCTTAAACCTGTTGCAGGAATCTCGTGTCTAACAAGGAGATGGCTTACCTTCAAATCAGCTGTAAGTTAGCTGGAAATTCAGAATGCAATCCAACAGAAAACTGAGTTCAATTCCTAGGTCAGTCTATGACATTCTGTAGAACGTACATTGTAATCGAACTATGTAGATTACTTGCAACATCTACTAAATGGAGGAAGAACAATTCATGAATTAAAGGTGTTTGTAAAAAACAGAGAACTACAGTGGATATTACACTGGACTGAAGTAGCCATCCACGACTCAGCTTCCAGGCCCAGCTCTTCCACCTATTAGGTGAATTTGCCTATTACATAAACTTGCTTCCTGTGTGAGTCCATTCATGCTGCTATAACCAAATGCCACAGATTGGGGAACTTACAGAGAAAAGGTATTTACTTTCTCACATTTCTAGAGGTTGGGAAGTCCCAGATCAAGGCATTAGCATGCTGGGTGTCTGGTGAAGACCCGTTTCACATAGGCAGTGTGGTCTTGGTGTCCTCACCCAGCAAGAGTGTGGAAGAGAATGGACACTACCTCAAGTTGCTGTGTAGAGCCCCTCATCTCATCCATGAGAGCTTCATGCTCGTGGCTTAATCCCCTCCTACGGGACCCACCTCTTAATGCTGTCAGGTTGGCCATTAACTTTCAACCTATGGATTTTGGGGAATGCACTGTGACCATAACACCCACACATAACTTTCTCCATTTAAAAGTTGAGAACATTGTATTAAAAAGTTTCTAGCAGTCTATTTAAGACCTTTCTTTTCCAGTAACTCACCAGTTTCCAAATGTTAACATTTGGCATGTGATGTGAACATTTCAGTTTGTTGCACTACGTTTACCTGAGTTTCTGCTCTCTGCACAAAAAGCACCCCTCCATTTGTATAACAATATTCGCAATCATAAGAAGACATTAATTGTCTTTATTCTCTCATTCATTTTCTCCCAAGTGCATGGTGGACTTTTGCAGAAAGTATAGGACCTTGGCTGACCCAATTGATTGAATACAGGCGCAGAATGATCAACTGTCTTCTATTAAGTCAGACATAAAAAAGGTATCCAAAAATGTGAAACTATGCCACCCGTCTCACTCACTATTTCCTGTATTGTTTCGGAAAACATCTATTTTCATTAAAATATTATATATGTTAACATGCCATGGATTCATATTTAAAAGATCACATACATAGCTAGCATTTTTCTCAATTTTAGTTTCTAATATGATAAATATTGATGGATTAAATCCACATGAACAAAAGCTCTTTCAGGTTCTTCAATAATTTTTGAGACCATGAAGGGGGCACTGAGATAAAAAATCAGTGAGAACCATCAGGTTAGCAAATGTGTATCGTTTTATTATTAACCTAACTCAAACAACAAATTCTATAAAGCAAATCAAATGAAATGAGAATAGGTTTATTGTTATTATTATTATTATTATTTTGTGATTATTTTTAGAGTCAGGGACTTTCTGTATCACCCAGGATGAAGTGCAGTGGTATGATCGTAGCTCACTGCAGCCTCAACTTCCTCCCTCCTCAGTCTCCCGAGTAGCTGGGACTACAAGCACTCATCACCACACCTGACTAATTTTTCAAATATTTTTTTCAATGACAGTGTCTCACCATGTTGCTCAGGCTGGTGTTGAACTCCTGGGCTCAAGCACCCACCTCAGCCTCCCAAAGCCCTGGGATGACAGGTGTGAGTTGTAGTCCCTTATTAGCATGTCCTACATCACTGATGAATAATCCTTCTCCCCCAACTCTCCTTCTCCTCCTCTTCTGTTCTTCTTCTCGCCTTTCCTCCCCATGCCTTTCTCCCTAGCCCATGGCTGGTGTCGTCCCTCAGTTTTCTGGTGGGTAAGCAGAAGCTCACCCCATCTTCTCCTGTGCTTTCAGCCTTACCTCAGTCTCCTGAATCCCAAGCCCTCAGAGGCAGCCCCATCTCCCTTGGGCCGCTCCTGGTCCTAAGAGTGACCTGCCCTGGGGGTGCTGCACCCATCACCTGGGCTTGAGGATCTCTAATAAGGCTTTTGTCTCTTAGCAAACCTCCTGCAGGGTCGGTGCATGTCACACATTAAAGACAGCTCTGTACATGGTTCTGGGCAGCATGGTGCTGGTGGGGGGATTCTCAGTAGCTCCATGAAGAGGGCATGGCTGCACCCTGATGCTACCCTGGCTTGTCGGAGAGGTCCAGGCGAGTCTGCAGTGCAGCATGCACAGTGAAGAAAGGAGTGAAAAGCTCCTGCCTTGTCTGATGCACACAGGACAGACTGCTGGCAGCAGTGGGTTCCCACTGAGCCCCAAGAGAAAGAATGGCCACTGTTAGGGAAACCCTTGTAGAAATAGTGGGCATAATATTCAATGCAGTCTAAAGAAAAAATGGATTAAAAAATATTTGATGATCAAGGACTTGGTCTGAGGTCAGCTCCCCCTTCCCCGCTTTCCCCTCAGCCAGGGACTCCGCTCTGCTCCAGGTGTGTTGGTCGGATATGGGGCATCCTCTCTTTTCCTTTTCTCATTTCCATGGCCCCCGTCCCTCCCTCTCTTCTTCTGTCCCTTCCTACCTCCATCTTCTCTATTCCTTTTCCTCTCTGCCTGTTTTTCACTCTACTTTCTTCCTTTCCTTCCTTTCTTTCTTTTCTCCATTTCCATGGCTTTATACTCAAGCCTCTGTGGTTGTGAAGAACATAAAGACGCTGTGTAAATTGTGGGAGCCCAGAGGTTCTCGTAATTTGGGGTCTGAGGACCCTTTTATACTCTTAAAAGGAGCTATGCAAATTAGGACTGAGATTTATTGACCTTCCACAGAGGGGACATCCAGAACCAGTGACAGAGGCACAGCTGGAGCTCGGGCCGGCTCCGGACTCAGACCCTGGTTCTCTCCGGGTCTCTGCCCCCTCTCTCTTGCAGCCCCTCCCTCCTGCCTTCCTCAGACCCCTAGGGCCCCTCCTGTCCTTGTCATTTTTGTTTTTGTTTTATGCTCTTTCCTGCAGACTGGCCGCCTGCTCCCTGTTCCTGTGTCCTCTGCTCTGTGGGTTCCACATGGCTTTAGTTTGCTCCACTTTGACTCATCTGCAGGGAGCTTTCAGCTGAAGGCCCTGGGGGTGCATGAAACCTGAAATCATAATTTCATGATTGATCCTGCCTCCTGTCTTTACCCCTTTGATGACACTGCTCTCATCAGTGGACCAGTGACTGCTCTGTCCCTGCAGGGTAGTGGGGATATGCTTGTGCCCGGGCTCAAGACCAGCTCAGGGCTCACTCGGGATTCAGGTGCATGGCCACCCAAGCATCCCTTTCTTATGTGCAGAGCCCAGGTTGGGCCGTCTGGCTCAGTGGAGGCCTCGGCTGCCTCCTGACTCTGCCACCCTCCCCAGCCTTTGCTGCCCTCTGGATCCAGTCCCAGGTGGCCCTGCCTGAGCTCCTGCAGGACTCTTGGTGCCTGGGGTGTACGTTTTCATCCTGCCCAGAGAGAGGAAGCATGATTGGGTTCTGAAATCTGCCTTGGTAAGTCCTTCTCCTTCCCTGGGATGGGAAGAGGACTTGCAACCACACAGCAAGGCCTGGGACTTACGATGCAGAAATGGGTCCTTTCCTCTCCACGGGGAAGGAAGCATGGGAGGCAGATGCTCAGGTTCCCCCTCAGCTTCTGCTGCAAAACAAACAGCCCCCAGCCTGCCTGCCCTTCCACCAGGCTCTCTCCTGGCCTGCACCAGGCCTCCCCTTTTCTCTAGGCCTTCACGGGCCTTCTCTCAGTTACTGCTCAGGTCTCCCTGCCAGCCCCAGTCATTCTAGGGCAACTTAACCCCCAGGAAGCCTCCGCTACCCCAGACCATGGGGCTCAGGCAAGGCCCTACCTCCAAATTCAACCCTCACCCTTGGGATTCAGCCTGGTTGTCATTTCCTCCACCCCTGACACTCGCATCTGGGCCAGTTCCTCTGTCCAGCCCTAAACTCCCCCATTCACAGGGGACTATGCCCTGTAGCCACAGTGTGTGCTTGCTCTTTCCCCTCTGCCTGCCTTCTCTCCAGAGGTTTAGGCTCTGGTCAGGAGAAAGTATGAGGTCTTGTCTGTCACTCAATAGTCTTGGGGGATCATCAGCACTGGATAATATGGTTTGGCTGTTTCCCCACCCAAATCTCATCTTGAATTGTAACTCCCATAATTCCTATGTGTCATGGGAGGGACCCAGTGGAAAGTAATTGAATCATGGGGTTGGGTCTTTCTCATGATATGAATAAGTCTCACAAAATCTGATGGTTTTATAAAGTCAAGTTCCCCTGCACATGCGCACTCTTGCCTGCTGCCATGTAAGACATGACTTTGCCCCTCATTCGCCTTTAGCCATGATTGTGAGCCCTCCCCAGCCATGTGGAGCTGTGAGTCAAACCTCTTTCCTTTATAAAGTATCCACTCTCGGTTATGTCATTATTAGCCGCGTGAGAACAGACTAATACACTGAGGATCTCCATCAAGCTGCCATCATCTTACTTGCTGTCTCTCACCTGCTTGGGCCCTACCTGTTAAACCGTGCAGAAGCCATGCAGCCAATTGCTTGCCTGGACATCCTCTCATGATAAGCATGGCTCCCTCAGACCCTGTGATCTCCAGGCATGACACGGAGGGGCAATGAATGAGAGAGGACAGTTGTGGGGTCATGGGGATGAGGTGGGAAACGAAGAGGCCCTCCCAGGGGTTGTTATGGTGGAGGGAGCACCTCTGCAGAGATACTGGGTCAGGAATCCCAGGGTTTAAAGGAATTAAGTGCTGGTAGCAAGTGGGGAAATGGTAGAAAGAGAAAGGAGTTGGATCAAGAAATGCTCAGAGAAGAGGAGCAAGGAAGAGCATTGGAGGTCTGAGTGCTCCTGCAGAGAACTGCTCTCATTTGGAACTGGACCTTGGTATGGACCTGGCCCATTGCGGCCAGGCATCCTCTGGCTGCAGCCTTGTGGATGCACGGGGATAATACAGAGATTGGCAACCATATCACTCTGCAGGTGTGAGCCAGGAGCCCCTGAGATTGGAATCTGGCTGTGTGCAATCCCTTGGCTCCCCACACACAACGTGCACCTGAGGTTCTCTTACCATAAGGGGGGGTCTTGCACTCACACAGCTGATCAGTTGATGAGCCCCAGGAGGGCCCCAGGCATGGGACAGCCAGTGGAGCAGCGTGGGGCCCACGTCTCAGGAGAAACAGATACCATCCTCCAGCTCCTTTGATGACAGAGTGAAGCTTACCAGTGGCGATGCAGGGCCTCTTCCTGAAGGCCGTGTGTGTCCCAGAGCGAGTGAGCTGGTGCAAATCAGTATGTGTGCACGTGCATGCGAGAGTATGTGTGTGTGTGAGTGTGCACACGCGTGTGTACTTGTGTATGGATGTGAACGTGTGTGTGCATAAGTGTGTGGTTATGGGTGTGGACATGAGTGTGTGTTTGTGAATGGGTGAGTGTGGATGAGCAAGTGTGGATGTCCTGGCCACCTCAGAAGAGAGCCCCTTGCTCTCCTCCACAGCCCTCCCTTTTCCATCCTTGGAGGCGAATGAGTTCAGTAGATTTCTATAATTACATACCCTGAATATTCCTCATTAAGCTTTGAAAAATGCTTGCCAAATTCAGGATATTTTATCTAAAATTGCTTTCCTTCAGGCCCCAGTTCCTCTCTACACATTTAATTTAAACTAACAATAAAATGCCCCTATAATGAATATGTGCTGTTGGGAAGGGGAGATGAATATAAAGCTGCGGCCACTTAGTCTTGTCGTGGGTGGGGCACAGATGCTCTGTGCCTCGGTGGTCAGAGAGCCAGGGGCAGAGCAGGCAGCCTGGGAAGCCCACATGGGGTAGGCACTTTACCCCCAGGAGGCCTCTCTGTGGTGTTGGTGACCTCGGGTTGGGGACCTAGGGGGCTTAGGAGGTTTCACCCGGGGTGTGGCCATGGCTGTGCACATCTGCATCCCTATGCCCAAACCCTGCAGTAGCTATGGGTGAAATAAATGGGCACCTTCTTCCTAGTCTTCTTCATTTGGGTCAGAATGTCTCTTCAAAATGTTGACCCATCAGAATGCAAAACCACACCCCTCAAAACCTTTGTGGAAACGCACGTGTGGCCTAGAAGCTGATGTCCTGTTTGGGAGAGCCTAGGGGTTGCCAAACATCAGGTGGGAGCAATTTCATACCCAAATCTTAACATCTGTTGCTCAGGCATGAACCTAGAGTGGCTGGAAATATAATAAGATTTATAACTCTGTTTTAAGCAGATTAATTTTGTAATATTTGCTTTTCACCCTCTGAATTTAATATTCAGATTTAGACATGGGAATTGCCTTATAAAATAACTCATGCCACTCAGTCTCATGCGTCCTGCTGCCTGGCCTGGCCCCCGTGATTCCCTCTGTTCTTCAGTGTCTCCCGCGGCTTGGTGGAGCCGTCACCCTCCCACCTGCATGGGCTGGCCGGCCAGGCTTAGGCTTACAGCTCATCCTCCTTCTCTGCCACCAGGTCTGCAATCTCGGCGAGAACCTGTGCAATCTCGGTGAGGACTACCTCAGAGGACAAGTATCTGTCACAGGGGAGTGTTGATTTGAGGTTTCCACTAAAATACCTTTAAAGTAAAGTACAGGTAGCTAGAGTTATCTATAGGTATTTAAAAAAAAAAAAAGAAAAGAAAAGGTAAAATCACTCATGCTGTGCATGAGTTTGCTAGGACTGCCATAACAAAATACCACAATCTGGGGGGCTTGAACCACAGACATGCCTCGTCTCACAGTCCTGGAGGCGGGAGATCTGACATGGAGGTGTCAGAGGAGTGGTTTCTCCTGAGGCCTCGCACCCTGTCTTCTAGATGGCACCTTCCCCTCATTCCTTTACATACTTTTCCCTCTGCACCTGTCTGTGTCTTCATTTCCCCTTCTAATTAGGACACCAGTTATATCAGATTAGGGTCCATCCAGATGACCTCATTTTAACTTAATTACATCTTTAAAGACCCTATCCCCAAATATAGTCACATTCTGAGGTACTTGGGGTTGGGACTTCTACATAGTAATTGTGGGGACATGATTCAGCCCGTAACACCCTCCTACAAGAGTAAACACAAAGGTTCTGACCACTAAGAGGAACAACTGAATGATGTTTCTGGATAATCCCAATGCAGGCAGCAATTTATTTCTATTAAAAATTAATTGGAGAGCATAGAGGAATGAAACCACACTGTCATGTCAACTTGATGTTCCCTTAGACTAGCACTATTAAACAGATTCAACAGATTTAATAACAGATTGAATAGTGCTAGTCTAAGGATCATCACCAAATCCAACAAAGAAAGGCGTTGGTCATTTTTGCATAGAACATCCAATATCAGAGGGAGACATGAGTGGTAACCATATTATTAATATAGATTATTGATTAGTAACAAAATTCTGAAATTACTTCCAGTGTTTCAGTTGTCAGCTTAGTAATATTTCTGCTGGAGCCTGGATCAAAATAAATATTGCAAGATGAGGAGCTCACAAAATTAAAGAACTCTGTAGGTATTAACTTAATATTTTGCTTTTTCTAAGATTATTATTAAAGTATCCTCTGAGCTAAGGAGCCAACGTGTTCCTGATGATTTGCATGCTATCTCATGGCATCTGTGCTGTGGCTCACAGGGTGGACAGTGGCTCACAGGGTGGACAGTGGCTCACGGGGTGGACAGTGGCTCACAGGGTGGACAGTGGCTCACAGGGTGGACAGTGGCTCACAGGGTGGACAGCAGACAGGCCTTTCTTTACTAAAATGACCACTTCACCCTTAGATAATCAGGCCTCTCATTTCAGGGCTCTAAAAGCGAAACGTGGCTGTGCCCTTCCTCAGTCTCTACAGAGGGAAGACCAGAGCAAAGAGAAATTTCCATCCACAAAATGATGGCTGGTCACATTTAAATGTGAGACTTTGGACGTTCCTGGCTTCTGGGTCAAGATCCAGGACACATGTGATACTGCACAAATAAGACGCGGTAGTTTCATGATAAAATGAAAGGATATGTCTTTGCAGGGCCAGGGGTGTGTTGGGAGCTCCGGAAAGCACTCAGCCTGGCCCAGCCTGCCCAGCTGGGGCAGAGTCATGTTCACTCCCTCAAAACCCAGGGAAGAATAAGCCGGACTCCAAATGCGTTTTTCATAAGTGTTCCCGTGTGACAAGCACAAGTGACATACATATTCCAATGTTGATGCGTTTGGCCTGGGCCCTCTTTTATTTGTTTGACCAGGGAATGAAAGGCTGTTTCTCCTGGGACAGGAACAGCCCGTTGCCTTAGGCGAGGTGGGCTTGGGAGACGGTGAGGGGGTTCGCGCAAGGCCTTCTGCTCCCCCCACACAGGCGATGTCGGCAGTTTATGGGTGAAATGGTGGAGCTGGATGTATTCAGTGCCTAAGGCGTGCAACCCACGGTCCCATTGGCGATTGTCTCCTGTCTCTTTTGTCCCTCACATTTTTTGGTGCCATCATCAGCGATTTCCGGAAATTTGGTAATTCACAAGCTCTGAGTGGGGGCCAGTGATCACCTCCCACCTCATTCTTATTTCTGCCTTCACCGCCTATTCTAAATGTGTATAAAAGGATTCGGTATTTTTTTTTTTCAAAAAGGCTGTTGTACAGATAAAAGGCAGTGAAGAAGAAAACAATTTAAAACACCCCTGTCATTGTGGTTTGGGGTATTTACAGCTGCAGAGAAGGCTGCTTCCTGTCACCGTCTGAATGTATAAACTTAACTTGATCACCTTCTAAAGAATTTATGAATCATGGTTAATAATCAGCTGTAGGCACTTCTGAGGGTAGAATCACATTTTGAAGCTACAAAGGTCCCCTAAATAGCTCCTGGGAAATGACCCTGCATCCCATTAAGTATAAAAATTCACTACTGAGCACTTGATGTCAGAGGTAAACCACTTCAGTCTCAACTCACTTCAAAATGTCAAGGAGCCCCTCCACTTAAACACTTGATTAATCTGGAAGAACCTGACCAGACAGCTCCATCTCAGGAGAAGAAAAAAAAAAAAAAAAGAATGTGTGTGTGTGTTTTTTTTCTTGAAGAACCTTTTTCTTTGCATTTAAAACACAAAAACCCTTTCTCTCTTTTCCACTCTTCCTCATGTTCGTTATTTTCTGTCGTTAAAACGGCTTTTATCTGGCTTTTATCTTTTCCATATGCCCATGGCCAACATTGCCTCCTCCTCCCACCGTACAAATCTGCCCAGGTGCAGGCTTTATCTGACTGGTGCCAGCTTCCCATTTTCCTATTTAAATGGATGATGTGAAATCAAAGTCAAATGTCAAGGTCAGGAAGAAGGTTTTTTGGTGCATTGTGATCTAAGACACAAATAGAACTCACCTAATAGAAGAAAGTCATAGAGGGTTCCAGGGCAAAGAAAGAAGAGGCATCCAAAACAAAATACAAATAAATCTGCACCTGTTGTCAATATTTACAACATATGTCTGCAGGAATTTGGACTCCTGATCTGATTTGTTCTTTATTATTATAAATAGTTATACATAATTATTATATGTATTACATATTATGCATAATATACTGACAATACAATGAACAGTGTATATCTTATATTTATTTTATTTTATTTTATTTTATTTTATTTATTTTATTTTATTTTATTTTTTGAGATAGAGTCTCTCTCTGTCGCCCAGGCTGGAGTGCAGTGGCGTGTTCTCAGCTCACTGCAAGCTCCGCCTCCCGGGTTCACGCCATTCTCCTGCCTCAGCCTCCGGAGTAGCTGGGACTACAGGTGCCCGCCACCACGCCTGGCTAATTTTTTTGTATTTTTAGTAGAGATGGGGTTTCACCGTGTTAGCCAGGATGGTCTCGATCTCCTGACCTCGTGATCCACCCAACTCAGCCTCCCAAAGTGCTGGGATTACAGGCGTGAGCCACTGCGCCCGGCCACCTTATATTTATTACAATTAATAAAGGATAATAATCCTTCAGGTATTTGTGATTTAAATTAAACTCGGTCTCCTAGATTTGCCAAAAAAGGCATCTCATTTGGAAAGTGTTAAAGAATCTCTGTAATTCCCATAATTATTACAACCATTGTATATCATGGTATTTCCACGGTAAACAGATCAGTTCCTGACTATTTATCAGATCATTCCAGGAATTATATTGTTCAAAGTTGTCTGGGCATGTGGGTGAAATGAAAATGGGGCAAATGCCAGAAACAGCATTTTTGATTCAGTTGTGTGGTTTATGTCATTTTTAATATAGTAATTTATTTCAGAACTCATAAGTGATAGCTGTGTCTTTGACCCGGAGATTAAATCTGCCATTTCAGGTGAAGTTCTGAGCCTTTGTCCAACATTATCATGTGAGGAGCTTGTGTTGCTCCCCTTGGGGGCAGATGGAGAAAGTTCCCGATGGTTCTTGGGCAGCTCCTCACACCTGCAGAGCTCCAGTCAGCCCATGTAGAGCAATGCCGCCTTGCAACATGAGCCTCAGGAACACGATGTAGGCAGCAAGCTTCCGCCACTGCACCAGCAAGACAGCAGGTCCCCAGGTGCTCCTTGGGGCCAGAGCTTGGCCCTTGTTTTACATCCCAAAGATAAAAACCTCACTTGACGGGAAAGGGCTATGTTATCAGGGACTCAAGAGCCCATCTCCAGGTGTGGGAGAGATTTTGCACAGTGCACCACACATTGGAAGCTGGGTCAAGTTTGCCAGCCAAGGGCTTCTTCCAGCCAGCAGCCTCCCAGCTGTTTTCACACACATCTCTAAAAATCCTGTAGTGAGTAGCTCTCAGTTCAAAGTGTTCTGGAGTTAGCCCTGTCCTGGGTTTGCTGGCAGGGATGAGGACCCTTAGGTGGAGAAATAAGGCTGACACACAGGTTAGCACCCATAAAATGCAGAATCCATCTGGGGGCCCAGAGCCAGCTGCTAAAAGAAGTTGATCTTGGATGTGGACCCTGAGGTGGGGACCCAGAGGCGAGCATCCGTGTGCTGCCAGCTGCTAGACCTTGGGTTCCCTCGGCCTCCTCAGACCCCGGAGGAAGGAAGACCTCACTCTGCTCATTCCACTGCCTGCAGAGCCAGTCCCCACAGTCTGTCCCTGTGAGCAGCTATGGGGGCTGCCCAAATTGTGAATGACTGAAATGAAGCCACCAGCCTGGCCACTGGGTACTGGGTACTTTGCAGACCAGAGATGGCTCGATACCAGGCCATGGTGTCTCTTGGGCTTCGGCCACTCTGGTCTCTGGGATCTGTTGTTTCCACATCCTTCTCTCTTTGCACCCATGCTGGGGCTACAGGTATTAAAAAACTGTGTTCTGTTAGTCTGCAGTGGGTCAAGCTCAAAAATGAAAATGGCTTTTTACAAATCCACCTGTTTGAGCGGATACACGCTGCTGAGATGTGAAGGGTTTGGGACTTTCTGTGTAGTGGCTATGGAATTTTATTAACATGAAAGGACAGAAATCAGGTTTGAGTGTGATTTATGTAGCAGCAGCTGTAGTATTCTTTTCATTGGAGTTTAAATAGGTTATAAAAACGTGATGGGGCACTGAGGTTACCAGTGAGTCATTCTCTGGCTTATTAGCAACAGCACAATTAATAGAGACAGACGACTTTCCCTTGACAAGGGGCTTTTCTGCCCCAGTGAGCATTTAAAAGGCACAATTCTGGCTTTGTAAAATACCAACTTCCACGCAGGGAGGCAGGATGCTGTCCTTGTCCCTGCACTAAAGGGAACCGAAATGTCACCTTCATCATGAAACAAATAATCCATCCTTCTCTCATTAAGATAAAACCCAATGTGGTTGAATTGTAACAGTAGGCTGGAGTGCAAGAAATACGGTCGCACATTTTCACCATCATGATGAGGACCCCTCTCCTGCCACGGTACTGACAATCCTACTGGAACCTCAAAACCTTTCAGCAGCTCCAACAGCCTAGCCACCTCCACCGCTGCAGGCTCTACTCTTGGGATTGCAGCTGCAAGCTTCCTACTGCTCCCCTCTGAGAGAATCACGTGGCACCATCCCAACCTGAGAGGCTCTGAGACCCGGAATGTTCACTGGAAAATGGCTAGAACATACAGGACCACAGAGCTCTGGCACAAGACCTCTGCCTCCATCTGCCATGAGCCAAAACACAGCCTCTGCAGCAATTGGCCCAGAATAGTCAGCACTTAATCAATGACTACCAGTATCCCTCATGTTACCTCCACTTTCAACTCAGGACCAGCCTGAGGAAACCAAATTTGCTCCCCTAACCAATCTCAAAGGATACCTGGCTTCAAGTGGGCCTCCCCCCAGCTTCTCCAGGCCAACAGCCTCCATCAGGGCCCACCTGAGGCTTCCCTTGCCATCAAGAAGCTTCACCACTCCATATGAGTCTCTGCTGAAATGCGAGTGATGGTGGCTGACTCCCCTGCCCTGGCACGCTCTGAGTAAATCCCTCCATTCGTTCCCATGTGGGCTGCCGTTGGGCAGTCATTCAGCAGTGCATGGTAAGCACAGACTGGCTGCTCAGTGCTGCTGTAGGTGCTGGTGCCAAGTGTAGCATCGCTGAGACTCAACTGATCTCGTACCCACTGCTCTTGCACTTCCAGGGCAAATTGTACAGAGGCAGCGTCCACCCTGGGGCTGGAATGCTCAGACTCAGGGGTGTTGGTCCGTGGTGTAGATGACAGGCGTGCCTAGTCTGAGCCACCTACCACCATGAGAAATAAGTGCCACCTGGAAAACGAATCGTCCCACCTCCACCCACGACGGACAATGCCAGCCCGTGCCGCTCTGTTGTCAGGGTCTTCATGACTTGGACTGGAAGATGTACCATCTCCTGCTTTTGTAATAATGCAGAAAGAAGCCTCTGCCCTATTCCTTCCAGAAGACAGCAGCCGTGCCCTGGAAGGCAGGTAGCCACTAGCCCTTCAGGAGCTTTAGAGGCCGTGCCCTTCAGGTCCTGGGGTGCAGGGCAGGCTACAACCTCCCACTGTTGAGGCCTGCACCACCTCAGGATGTTCACCTCCCTGAGGACATGACCCTAGAATCTACTAGGATCTCCATGCCCTGTGACCTTGCTAGATTGGAAATAAGTCTGTGTTCCTCTGAGAGCAAGGCCTGAGACCATGTTAACATTTTACAGTTGTATTGTGTTGTTGACCCAAATTATTTGAGGCTAACCAAAATCAGGAGTTGTTTTTCTCATGAGGTTCAAGTTCCCAATCTTCGACCTGTGAAGCTCAGTGGGGGGCTTCCTGTTTCCTAACAGCTGCCTGCTGTTGTGTGTTGAGGTCAGCTCTCCACTTCAAGCTGTGAAGCTGCCCCTGGGAGGAGGGGGAGTGGAAGCGAGTCAGCTCCCCTAAAGGACAACGCCTGCAGAAAGGTGTGTGGGGTCCTGGGTGCCACACAACTATGCCAAACTTAAGGGAATGAACTGTGCACACTCTTTAGAAGAGGGACTTATGTTTGCATGCTTTATGTAAAGAACTCATTAAGTCAATATTAGTACACAGTGTCTTAGAGAAAATAAAAATCATATAATGGATTATGTAAAATAGCAGAACTGGGCCACGACCTCACTGCTTGAGTAGTTATGATTTTTGTGAAGATGCTGCATTGACTGAATTTTGACCAACGGGTCATGAATTAAATTAGGTAATGAGAGCTAGTTCCCTCATTATACCCTGTTCATACCCTATTACTGTAGGTATCATTGATAGAATAATATTCAGCTATTGGAAAAATATTCATGACTTTTGAGTAAAAGTAAAATTAGAAGGAAATGTTGTCTTAGTCACCTTGGGCTACCATAACAGAATATCATAGACTGGAGCTTAAATAACAGAAAAGTATTTTCTGACAGTGGTGGGAACTGGAAGTCTGTGATCAGGGTGCTAGCATGGACAGGCTCTGATGAGCTCTCTATTCCTGGCTTGTAGACCGTCACCTCCACACTGTGTCCTGACTTGGTGGAGAGAGAAATCTCTGGGGTTTTTTCTTAAAAGGGCACTAATCCTCTCATGAGGGTCCTGCTCTCATGACCTCATGTGACCCTGATAGCCTCCCAAAGTTCCCAACTCCAAATACTATTCCACTGGGGATTAGAG
The DNA here is from genome assembly GCF_000001405.40 of Homo sapiens. NCBI lineage: Eukaryota > Metazoa > Chordata > Mammalia > Primates > Hominidae > Homo > Homo sapiens. Next base: position 123,666 of record NW_018654712.1, read on the forward strand.
CTTCAACATACAAACTCAAGGGAAACATGACAATTCCATCCAGAGCCAATGTATACCACAAAAATGCACTCGAATACAGAAGACAATGGGAAGGAGAGGGCTTTTTGCTAAGGATATGCAAATCGACAGAGCTGGCCATGGTGGTGAGAGAAGTCATCCCGGCCATGCCTTGGGGTCTCATGCTCTGCAGTCAGGGTTTGGTTCCTTCCCCAAGCCATGGGTTCTCACTGATATTTCATTCTATGTTAATAATTGAAGTTTTAATGAGAACACATGGACACAGGAAGGGGAACATCACACACTGGGGACTGTTGTGGGGTGGGGGGGGTGGGAGGGATAGCATTAGGAGATATACCTAATGTAAATGACGAGTTAATGGGTGCAGCACACCAACATGGCACATGTACACATATGTAACAAACCTGCACGTTGTGCACATGTACCCTAAAACTTAAAGTATAATAATAATAAATAAAATAAAATATAAAAAAATTGACGTTCTACCAGTGTCCACAATTTAATTGATTAAAGTACCCCAAAACACATATGCTGTCTCCTGTGTGTCAAAAGCTTGGCAGGGCACTGAGATGCAGGGATGAGTCAGGGCAGAAGCTGGGCTTCCACAGAGCCCAAGCCCACCTGAACTAGGCCACTGCAAGAGCAGGAAGGTTTTTCTATAAGAAAGTGCTGAAGTCCTTGACATGGGACTTGACTTGGGCAAGGGGTCAGGATGTGCCTCAGAGAGCTGATCAGAAGAGATGCCTGGCAGGAGAACAACATCACCTTCCAGGAGGAGCTAGTGCATGAAATGCATACATTCATGCCCCTTCCTCTGAATGCTTGCTCACATTTAGGTTAGAATTTGGCCATTTATGTTGTTTTCCCATAAAGATGAAGTGACTTGGCCAACGCAGGAATTATCTGGCCCCTTTAGCAATAACAATTTCATAACAACTTTGCAAATACACTTAGGCTTTGATATAGTTTGCATATTTCCCCCTTCAAATTTTATGTTGAAATTTGATCTCCAATGTTGGAGGTGGGGCCTGATGGGAGGTTTTTGAGTCATGGAGGTGGATCCTTTAGGAATGGCTTGGTGCTATCCTCTGGGTAATGAGTGGGTTCTCACTCTATCGTTCCCATGAGTACTAATTGTTACTAACGAACCTGGCACCTCCCTCCCTGCTGTCCTGCTTCCTCTCCTCTACCAGAGGTGGAAGCTTCTTAAGGCCTCACCAGAAGCAGATGCTGGCGCCGTGCTTTCTGCAGAATGGTGTGCCAAAGAAACCTCTCTTCTTTATAAAATACCCAGCCTCAGATATTCTGTTATAGCAACACAAAATGGACTAAGACAGGCTTTATGCATTCATCTCTTGAGGTTGGTTAAAATGAATTTGCCTCAAGAACAGGGCCCTGCTTTTGGGTGTACTGACACAATCACCTTCATAGTGCCTTTCTCCAAAGCACTCATTGTTGCCTTCATAAGCTCCTTAGCTGTCATTCTCTAATGAAGACCATGCCACATCCTTCAGCTTTCTCCATTATATGGAAGCATTGGTCTGGATGAACAAAATAGTATTGCATGACTAGACTTGCTTTCTGTCCCTTGGCAGGCTGAGTCAGATAACCTGTCTTCCATTATTCTGAAACCATCTTATCTCTCAAAGATGTTCACAATTAGGCCACTTGTTTCTTTTCCTCTAACAGATGCTACTTTTTCTCCTTACCAATTCACATTAGATAAATGAACTTCCATCCAGGGCTAACTTTTCAATCCACAGCCATTCATCTGCTGTTCCTATCAAGTCAGCTGTTTTGCTTGAATCACTGAGCTCTTCACTTTCTTTTTTTCATTCTTCAAAGGCATGTAGAATACTCACCTTAGTCTCTGGAATCTACTCTTTCTCTCTATCCTGGACATAGAATTTTAAACCCTATTGAGCTGGCTGGTGAAGGTCAGGCCAAGTGAATACTTGGCAGTGTTCTCATGCTGCCTTCCAACCTTTGTGTAGAAAGCTGCCCCAGCTCAGACAGACCTAAGTTTGGGCCCAGGCCCTGACACTATCCAGGTGTGTAAACTTGGGCAGCGTACTTAACTTGTCCAGCTTTATTCTCTAGGGCTGTGACATTTGGATAATGGTGACTATATCATTGGCTCATTACATAAAAAGTAAGCCATTCTGGATGCAATCCACCTAGTTCACATTTGATACATGCTGGCCCTGCCCCTCACTCAGGGCCACTGCACATCCTGCACATCATGGGGGCATTGCCTGAAGGAGTAAGAAGGGTACAATTTCATCTGTGGTCCATTGACCAAGCTGTGCACCTGTAATACTGCAACTCTTCCTAATCCACAGAGAGGAACCTTACAGCTAGTTGCAATCCTGAGTTCCTCTTAAGTTTCTGGTGTAGTTTTAAAGAAAACTATATCCAAGATCCTACCCTAACTCACACACTGAATCTCGGACGTCTATTCCAAACTATATCAGACATTCTGCCAAGCACCAAGTGGAAGAGTGTTTCCGAATATTGTACATAGAAAAATGATAGGGTATGACACATCAGTCTAAAAATTACAACTAGTATTATAAAACATAGCAGGTGCACAATTACTCTATCGTGGTAGGGTGTAAAATGCTCACAACATTGCTTCCTAGTATCCAATTAATGTAGTTGGTGATAAACAGTTACTCATTTGCAGTGATGTCTTCTTTTTTTATTACAGTCAATTATACAATGAATTGCAATCGACTCATTCTGCTCCTTATTCAACAATTGTATTACCATTTTTTTCCCCAACAAAAACTAGGCAAAAATAAGATCTAACTCCTAAAAGCATGGTGGGAAAGCAGTCAGTGGAGACGCACCATGGCAGAGAGTGACACCCACTGAGGATATCACCTGGATCCTCCGGGCACTGGGTGCATTTAAGAGTAAACCCACTCCTGTAGCCTCAGCACATTTTTTTTTTTACTTTAAGTTCTAGGATACATATGCAGAACGTGCAGGTTTGTTACATAGGTATACATGTGCCATGGTAGTTTGCTGCACCTCTCAACCGGTCATCTAGGTTTTAAGCCCTGCATGCATTAGGTATTTGTCCTAATGCTCTCTCTCCCCTTGTCCCCTATCCCCTGACAGGCCCCAGTGTGTGATGTTCATGGGAGCACATTTTTAAAAAGGGCTAAACGTGATTTTAATGAGGGACTAATTGTATTTAGAGAGTAACTGAGTAGTTTTTGATATATCATTTTGTTTAAAATATTTATTGATATTTGGAGCTGTTATTATAAAATTTTTCCTATATTATTATTCATCAGAAACATCTTGTTAAAATATGTACATTATAAGATATTGGCTACTACAAATGAAGAGGAAATCCACAGGAAAAGAGAGAAAAAAATAAAGTTGTTTTCAAAATATAGGTCAAAAATTTAGAAAATAAAACAAGTTAATTTTCTTTTCCTATGAGAACTTTACAAATTGAAGAAAAAGTCATGTTTGCAGGAATAGTGGAACAATATAAGAAACTTACAGAAAAGAGTAATCTTTTACTATTCTTCCTTTTCTTTCCTGGATGGCTGAGGCAGGTGTGTCTTGGATTTCCATTCATATGTGGATTATGGACATTATATGCAATGCCATGATTTTATAAACATTCATGCATGCATATAGGAAACATATATCACTGCAACTTGACTTTCAAAGTTTTGACAATATGTAATGGACATCTTTCGAGGTCCATAGATAATTAGTTTTTTCATTGTTTTTAAGAGATTGGTTCGTGTTTATGTTGGTCAGGCTAGACTCAAACTCCTGGGATCGAGCAACTCTGTCACTTCAGCCTCCAGAGTAGCTATTACTCTTAACAGTTATGTAGTATTAGCTATCTATTGCTGAAATAATGCTGTGCAAAAATGACCAAACAACTTAAGGGGGGTACAAAAATATGCATGTACCTGGGCTACTTGGCTAGGCAGCCTTGTTAATACGCATGTACCTGGGCTACTTGGCTAGGCAGCCTTGTTTGTTTTGACTGTGCTTGCTCTCATGTCTAAGCGTCCTTTGGCTCTTAGCTGATTTAAGATGGCTTGGGCTGGGGACATGGGTGATTCACCTTTTCTGCGTGTGCCTCTGCCTCTCCAGGAGGCTAGCCTGAGGATGTTCTCATAGCGATGGCAGAGGCTCCCAGGCAAAAAGGCAAGTGCAAGCATGCAAGTGCTTTCTAGACTGCTGCTTTTATCATGCATGCTAAAGTTCTATATTAGCAGTCACCAAAACAAGTCATATGGCTGATCACATAGAGAGAGAGAGAGGGCTGCACAGTTGCACGGCAAAGGGTAAGAGTGCAAGAGATTTGAAAAATTGAGACTATTTTTGTAACCTACCACAGTATAAACCTTCCATTTTTTATTCAACCATTCCCCATGTTAGCTGCTATTTTGGATCTTTTCAGAGTGTTATAAGTTATTATTAGCAAGAGTATATATTCTTACATATCTATCTTTATGCATTTGCGTTTATTTTAGTGGAATGTTTACCAAAGTGAAATGATTGGATCAAATATTTTTATTAGAATTAAAATTTATAGAGCTATATTTATTCAAAATGTGTAGTGATTCATACCTATGGTAGACATGAAATAAAGTGTCTGTTTTCCTATATCTTGGTTGAATAAGACACAGTGATTTTTTTTTTGTAATAGATTAAAAATCTAATTTTTGAACTTACAGATTCAGTTCCAACATATAAAGAACATAAAATACATCATTTTTGTCCTAAAACAACATCAAAGAAAGCTGGACAAATTAAAAATCAATGACTGTCTTTGACCTAATACATATGTGAGTTTGCAGGGCAAGCTGTCACCCTGAAATGTGAAGAGACAGCACATACAGAGAATAACAGGTGAGATCTGCCTACCTGACATGCAAGACACTGAAGCCAAAGATGCTGGAATCAGAAACTCCTTGTAATAGCACATACAATATGTCCAGCTTTTAACCAAAAATTATAAGACATGTAAAAAGGCAAGAAAGAAATTCTAAAGAGAAAAAGCAAGGCAGACTCATATATGACACAAATATTGGAAATATCAGACAGGAAATTTAAAATGGCTATAATTAATATGCCAAGGGATTTAATGAATTAGTAGGTAACATTCAAGAACAGGTGGGTAATATAAGCAGCAAGAGGAAAACTCCAGGAATAAGTTTTAAAATGCTAGAAATCAACAACACAGTCACAAAAAGAATGCCTTCAATAAGGTTATCACTAGATTCAATATAGCCAAGGAAAGAATAAAGGACCTTCAAGATAGGTCAATAGAAGCATCCCAAACTTGATCATAATGAGAACAAAATTTGAAGGAAGAAGTAGAATACGACATTCAAGAACTGCAGAGCAATTTTAAAAGTTACACACACACACACACACACACACACACACACACACACACACTTGAAATATCAGCAGAAGTAGTAAGAGAGAATGGAGCCAAAGAAATATTTAAAGTAATAAAGCCTAAGAACTTTCTATAACTAGTGGTAGATATAAAACTCCACATTCAGAAAATTCAGAGAACACCAAGCAAAATGAACAAATACTTAGATAAAATACTAAATCATAAAGGAACAAATACTTACACACAAAAAATACTAAATCATATATTAAAGCTGCAGAAAATTAAATACAAAAATTTTCAAAGAAGCCAGAAAAGAAAATCACCATATATATAGAAAAATGCTGATCAGAATTACAGCATACTTCTCATCAGAAATAATGCAAACCAGGAGACAGTGGAATAAAATATTCAGTGCTAAAAAACAAAAACCCTAACCTAAAAATCTGCATTCAGGGAAATTAGCCTTCAAAATGAAGGAAATGTAAAGACTTTCTCAAATAAACAAAAACTGGGGAAATCTGTTGCCAGTAAACATGCCTTTCATGAAATGGTAGGATAAGTTCTTTAAAAGAAGCAAAATGAGACTGGGCTTGGTAGCTCACGCCTGTAATCCCAACACTTTGGGAGGCCAAGGTAGGCAGACTTCTTGAGTCCAAAAGTTTATCTAATTGTTTTTTATAGAATAGTCTACCCAACAACAGCAGAATGCACTTTCTTCTCAAGCTACCATGAAACTTTCACCATGATAAACTTCATCATGTGTGCCATAAGGACACATTAACAAATCTAAAATATTATGCATTATACAAAATATGTTTTCAGATTACAGTGGAATCAAACTGAAAGTCAATAACAGAAAAATGGTAGGAAATCCCTAATTATTTGGAAATTAGGCAACACATTATCTAAATAATCCATGGGTCAAATTAGAAATCTTAACAGAAAGCTAAAATATACTTTCAGCTAAATAAATGTGGAAATACAAATAACCAAAGTATGTGGGATGAAGCAAAAACAGTACTTACAAATAAATTAATAACCCTGAATAAACTAGGAAAGAAAAAAATTCAAAAGAAGTAATCTAAGCTTTAATCTTAGGAATCTGATTCCTAAAAATAAGAGAGTTTTAACCTAAACAAGTGAATAATTAAAATTATAAAAATTAAAGCAGAAATCAATTAAATTGAAAACTAGAAAATAAAAGATACTTTCAATTAAATCTAAAAATTCCTTGAAAAACTTAATAAAGTTTATAAACCTAGTCGTTGCAATCAAGAAAAAAAAATTCCCATATCAGAAATATATATAAGGCCATCTCTATTGACAGCATTGACATTAAAATAATAATTAAGAAATACTATACTAAGAAGTACTTTTTGTCCACAAATTTGATAATTTAGATTAAGTATCTGTTCCTTAAAGGAAAGTATCAGAACTTATACAAAATGTTACAGGACTTGAATAGGGCTTGGATATTTACATAGTTCTATATCTTTAGAAACAGTAGATACTGTCTCTCTATCTATATTAAAGTTGTTCAATCAATAATAATTACCAAAATAAGAAAGCACAAAGCTCAAATGACTTTGTGGGGAAGTCTATCAAGTATTAAAAGAGGAAATAATTATTTCTTAATAATAGTTAATAATAATGATATTAATTAATAATAATAGTATAATATTAAATATTTCCACAATCTCTTTTACAAAATAGAAATGGAGAGAACACTTCTGAACTTATTTTATAGGGTAAACTTTGTCCTAATACCAAAACCAGATAAAGACATTGCATAAAATAAAAATTATAGACCAATTCCTCCCATGAACATAAATGCATAATGTCCAATAAAATATTAGCAAGTATAATCCAACAATGTATAGGAAGGATTATGCATCATGTACAGGTGAGACTTATTCTAGGTATTCTATTAATGAATGACTCAACATTCAGAAATCAATTAATGTAATCCTCTAAGTCAACAGGCTAAAGAAATAAAACCACATAATCATATCAGTTGATATAGTACAAGCATTTGGCAAAATCCAGCATCATTCAAGGTAGAAACTCTCAACACAATAAGAATAGCGGGGAACTTCCTCAACTTGATAAAGGACATGCACACACACACACACACACACACACACACACACACACACACACACACAACCTGTAGCTAGCATCATACTTAATGGTAAAGCAAGACTGGACAATGTTACCTTAATGTCAGGAATAAGGCAAGGGTGTTCTCTTTCACCATTTTTATGTGATGAAGTTGTAGCTGGAGCATTAGTTAGAAAAACACATATACCTATGTACATATGTGTGTACACACACACAAATGGGAAAGAAAAATAAAATGAAAAACTGTTTCTTTTGCATGTGACGTGATTGTCTATGTATAAAATCTCTCAAAATCTACAAAATCTCCTGGAACTAATAAGCAAGCACAGCAAGGTTGCAAAGTCTATATCCAAATGTTAATTATTTTTTTACATACCAGCAGTGAACAATTAGAATTTTAAATTAAAAACCAATAACATTCATGATAGCACCAAAAATAAACATACTTAAGCATAAGACTATACAAATATGCAAGTAAAAGATAAAAACACTGACAAAGCAAAGAAGATTTAAACAAATTGGAATCTATTCTGTGCTCATGAATAGGAAGATTCAATATTGTTAAGATATAAATTCTTCCCAATTTGACTAATCTGTGTTCCAATGCAATTACAATAAAATTTCCAGAAAGCTACTTTGTAGGTATCAGCAAACTCTTCCTAAACTTTATAAACTTAAATTAGACAACATAATACTGAAGAAACATAAAAAATTTGGAGGAATTCCATGACCCACACTATCAAAGCATAGAAGGCTTACGAAAAAGCAACAGCAATCAAGACCACATTGTATTGGTGAAAGAATAGACAAGTAGATCAATGGAACATGAGAGAGCCAAGTAAAAGACCAAGACAAATATATTTCACTGATTTTTAACACGGGCACAACTGAAATTCAGTGGAGAAAAGACAATGTTTTCTATAAAAGGTATTGAGTCAATTGGACATCCATATGCAAACAAAAAGATCCAGACATAGACTTTATACCTTTCACAAAATTAAGCTCAAAATGGATTATAGGATTATATAAAATGTAAAAACTGTAACATACTTAAAATAAAATAAATGAGAAAATCTACATGACTGGGAGCCTGATGATGAGTTTTGAGACACAAAACAAAAGCTCTATCTGTGAAAGAAAAAATATTTGACTTTACTAAAATTTAAAACTTCTACTCTGTAAAAGACACTGTTATGAGAATGAAAAAAGAAAGCCATAGCCCGGGTGAAATATTTGTAAGACACGCATCTAATAAAAGGCTTGTATTCAAAATATAGGTAGAGCACTAAAACAACAGTAGGAAACAAACAATTAAAATGGACAATGTATAGAAACGTAAGCCTCACCAGAGAAAATATACAGATGAAAAGTAAGAACGAGTGGATATTCAACATTAGATGTTATGAAGGAATTGCAAATTTAAAAAAGATAGAAATAGCACTACACACCTGTTAGTGTAGTAAAAATTCCAAAACACTGGCAATACCAATTACTGGTAAGAATGAGAAGCAACAGAAATTCTCATTCATTGCTGTGGTACTGCAGAATGCTACATCCACTTCGGAAGGTAGTTTGGCAGCTTCTTTTAAAGCTAAACATATTATTACCACACAATTCAACAATCACACTTCCAAGTATTTACTTAACCAAATTGAAAATTTATATTCACACAAATGCCTGTGTGTGAATGTTTATAGTGGCTATTTTTATAATTACTAAAAACTAGAAGCAATACAATATCTGTTTTCTAATAGATGAATGAATTCTCAAATATACAAACAAGGGAGTGCTATTTTACAATCAGAAATAAACTGCCAAGCCATGAAAAGACATGGATGATTCCAAAATTCATACACATTAGTAAAAGAAGGAAGTCTGAAAATTCTACATATTATTTGATTTTATATGACAGTTTAGAAAAGGTAAGCTGTAGAGACTGAGATGATAAACAGATCCATGACTGTCGGGGGCCCAAGAGGGTGAAAGATGAGGAGCTCAGAAGATTTTTTTATGGATATTATATATATATATATATATATATATATATATATATATATATATACGTGTGTGTGTGTGTGTGTGTGTGTGTGTATATATATAGTATGATACTCTAATGGTGGATACATGACATTATGCATTTTTTAACTTTACAGCACAAGGAAACCTTAATGCATGCAAACTTAAAATAATTAAGAGTAGGGAAATCCTAGTGTGGAAATAAGAAACTGACAGAATAATCTAACTGCAATAAATAGAAATGTGTGAAACCATTTTACTGAGGTGAGTGGAGATAAAGGTGTTGACCTAAGTAACTTTTTGAGTAAGTGGAAATCATAAGACTCAAAAAAAAAAACAAAAAACAAAAAATAAAAAACAAACAAACAAAAAAACTACCAGAAAAACAGACCTGTGCATAGGCACTGTATTCTAGCTGATAATATTTTCCATATGCATACAGGTCAACAATTCTGAAACCTTATATAAATACTGGAAATGACTAAATTAATGTATGGCAAAATGTGAGACCCAGGTTTCTCAGTGCTGGAAGCCTATAGCTATGAAGAGGGTGAAGAATCCACGTAATGGTGGATTAGAGTTGCAGACGTTAGCATGAATTCATAATATAGACACAGATGATTGTGTATAGAGATATTACTATTATACATGTTCATATTCATGGTTTAGTATACATACATGGATTTCTTTTTTTTTTTTTTTTTTTTTTTTTTGAGATGGAGTCTCTCTCTATTGCCCAGGCTGGAGTGCAGTGCAGTGGCGTGATCTCAGCTCACTGCAAACTCCGCCTTCCAGGTTCACACCATTCTCCTGCCTCAGCCTCCCAAGTAGCTGGGACTACAGGCGCCCATCACCACGCCCTGCTAGTTTTTTGTATTTTTAATAGAGATGGGGTTTCACCGTGTTAGCCAGGATGGTCTTGATCTCCTGACCTCGTGATCCACCCACCTCGGCCTCCCAAAGTTCTGGGATTACAGGCATGAGCCACTGGGCCCAGCCCTGGATTTCTTTATTCAGCTAAGAAAGCTTACATGCAAAGGACTCCTCACTAGCAACAAGCATACCTATCACCCAAATCTTCTTTTCTAATGCCATTCTGCAATCAAAGGAACCAGAGCTCTTTGGAGAAATGGCTAAATAATTTTAGGACTGTGGAAAGAAACATCCAAGATGATCTCTGAGCATCTTGTAGTTCCAGAAAGTAAAGTACACAATGCACACAGACTTGCACACTCATGCAATACAGGGGTCTGTCAAAGGGACACCAGCACTAACCGAACGAACCAACAGTGACCAAAACCATTTTGTCTTTGCAACAAAAAATAAAATAGTATTGAGTTATAGTCCAAAGTATAAAATAAATATTCATGATTCCATACCAATGTAAATAGCTGACTGCATAAATAAATAAATGAGGGAAACGGACAAATATCCTATGCAGAAAGTTTTGAAATAATTTATATAGATCACCTTTAAGGAAACGGGGCATAACTCCCCCACTCCCTAAGTACCCGTAACAACTTTCTTCCAAAGTGCATAACAGCTTTCTTCCAAAGAACATAGCAAGAAAAGAGTGGGGAGTAACTTCACAGTAGAAAAAACTGACGAACAGAACCTCAGCCTGATGATCAAGGTCAACACCACGTACCCTTGATGTGAAGTGATGAGAAGACCACTTTGCCTCTGTGTTCTTTTCAAAAATCCATAACCCAGTAGAAACCATGAGAAACACATCAGACAAATCCCAGTAGAAGGATATCCTATAAAACGCTTGGCCAGTACTCTTCAAAACTGTTAAGGCCATCAAAAAGAAAGAAAGCTTGAGAAATTGGGACAGCCAAGAGAAGCCAAGGAGACATGAGGACTAAATGTAACACGCTGTCCTGGATGAGGTCCCCAAATAAGGGAAGCCTTTGGGAAAAGCTAAGGACATCTGTATAAACTATGGACTTTAGTTAATAATAACGAATGGATACTGGTTACTTCATTGTGGCAAATATGACATATTAAGATAGGATGCCAATTATAGAGAAATGCAGATTTGGACATGGGGGAACAGATGGACTATCTTCGCATTTTTTTTTTTTGGTAAATCGAAAACCTCCTAAAATAAAATGTATATTTGAAAAACTAATTGTTGATTCATCCTTTATATAAAAGTTAATAATAACATTGTCTCTTGTGAAAATACGCAATGATGATGATGATGGATAAAACAAAAGGAACTAAATAAACTGGAGGGAAACAGATTGGCTTCTCTGCCTTCCAGAAACTTTAATTTGATGGTCATTCTGATTTGGTTAGGATGCCTAACTGCAAATTTACAGGAGTAATTTCACCTAACGTTGATAAAATCTCTTCTGCCCTAAGATAAGTTGCTGGATCTTAAAGCGCTGTCCCTATGTAGCTAAATCAAATAAGTCAGAACGTGGTCTCAAGTAAATAGCACTTAAGCATTTGGAGGAGAGACACAGCAGAAAAGATAACAAAGACACTCAACCAACAGCTGGAGTATCAGAGTCCCGAGGGTCGGCTTGAGTGCTCTCAGACGGCTTGTACCCTCCCCAATTACATGAGGAACCTGTGTAAAATAGCAACTAGTGCCAACTGAACTGTTCACCTCCCAAACACCAGTTTATGTAAACTCAATTACTTACATGACCAGAACCAGTGATTTCTGAAAAGAAGCCTCTCATCTACTCTACTAAGTTTTCTGCCAAAACACAGCATGAGTTTTGTTTTCTTTAAAAACTACCATTTCCATATAATTGGATTAAC